>NC_000001.11:239668970-239820485 GCF_000001405.40 Homo sapiens
ATAGTTGAACACTATCTTCTTTCTGCGTCCTTAATCAATTTCTTTTCTGAGCGACTTCATCCTGAGCTTCCATCTCCCCGAAAATTCCCTGAGGCACTGTCAGCATGGTGTGGAGCCTGTTGATCCTTGGTGCCGGGGCTGGAATAGGCTGTGCACTCCTGGACACAAACCCTACTCACATGACTCTTAGCTTGGAGCCAGCGTTCCCCGAAGTTAGGCGAGATTTCTAATGCCTTAAAAGGGAAAGGTAGGGTAAAAATAATTAAGTCCAATATTCTTTCCCTTTTAAACTTTTTATACGCTCCTTTCTTTGTCTTTGTTATGTGAATTTGACTTCTTTGTTCTGTTTCAGACAACTTGTAAGGACAAGTTGTTATTCACCCAGTTAACAAAGTGGCATTTCTCTACACGTTGTTGTTTTATTTTTTCCTTAAAAAGGGATTTATTTCTGCAGGCCTGGCATTACTGTTTTGTTTTCTTAATACTTTGCTCGATGAAATGGTTAAGAGCACTAAATATCATTATTGTTTAATATAAAGAACCAGACTCAGATTTAACTAATTTTCCTCAAATTTTTCAGGTCTTGACCTACACGTGTCACCCAAGTTGATTCTAAGCTGAAAGGGACTGTTGACTAAAAGATAAAAGGGGAAAAAAATTCTAGAATGACAGAAAAGTTAGAAAGACCCAGAAAGACTTTATACATGACCAGGGGATAATAACGTGGAAGGGGTTATACCAGACACCTCATTCTAATATACTAATTATAATATTGTCATTTAAAATGCAATCCACTGTATTAAAAAAGGTTTTGAATAGAAAGTTACAAGCATATTCAAAAGCAGAGAGAATACTATAATCAACCCACTATACCCATCTTGCAGCTTCAATAATTAGCAATATATGGCCATGGCCAACTCGTTTCTTTTACATGGCCCTCCTTTCCCACAAATGCTGGATTATTTTAGAAACAAACACAAGACAAAAATATCTCTGCATGTACTAAATTAATATTCAATATTAAAGATGACTCTTGAAATACGAGATTTTAAGAGATCAGTCTGATATTATAAAATAATAAGAAGCCAGTTAAGGTTTTGTTTTAATCAACTATATTAAGGCATAATACATGTGCAATAACAAGCGCTCATCTTTAGTGTATATTTGGATGAGATTAGAGAAGTTTATCTACCATGTTGCTACCACTAAATCAAGCCCTAACATATTTTCACCATCACGCCAAGTTCTCTTATACCTCTTCCTAGTTGCTGTAAACACATGCCACCCCCACCCCAAGCCCCAGGAAAAATGCTTTTCTGCTTTCTGGCCCATAGTCTCTATTTCTTTTTTCTAGAGCTTTATAAAAATAAAATCATAGGTAAAATATTTCTGTGTCTGACTTCTTTTGCACAGTGTGTTTTTGAAATTTACATATATTGTGAACATCAGTAGTTCATCACTTTGTATTGCATCTTTAAGATTCCATTGCATGACAGTATCACATTTTGCTTCTCCAGCCCATCTGATGGATAATTGTTTTTTGGTTTTTGTTTTTATGGAGATAGAGTCTCACTCTGTCGCCCAGGCTGGAGTGCAGTGACATAATCTCGGCTCACTGCAACCTCTGCCTCCCAGATTCAAGAGCCTCCCAGATTCAAGAGATTCTCCTGCCTCAGCTTCCCAAGCAGCTGGGATTACAGGCGTGCTCCACCACACCCAGCTAATTTTTGTATTTTTAGTAGAGATGAGGTTTCACCATGTTGATCAGGCTGGTCTCGAACTCCCAACCTCAGGTGATCTACCCCCCCCACCTCAGTTTCCCAAAGTGGGATAATTGAGTTTTTTCTTTCCCAGTTTGGGGTGACTGTGGATAGTTTCTGTGAACTTCATATGCAAGTTTCTGAGTAGACTTGTATTTTTCACTTCTCTTTGGTGAATAAGTAGGAGTATAATTGCTCAGCAGTATATATTAAATATGTGTTTAGCTACATAATAAATTTTCCATTGTGTGTTTTCTAAAGTAGTTGTACCACATTACATTCCCATCAGCAGTGTATGAGAGTTATAGTTGCTTCCCGTCTCTGCCAACATAGATGTATTATGTTGTTCTAATTTTGCCATTCTTACGGTATGGGATAGTATCTTATTGTGGCTTTCATCTGCATTTTCCTAATCACTAATTTTGTTTAGCATCTTTTTCATAGGATTACTAGACTCCTCAAATTCTAATCAACCATTTCTTCAACTCAGTGAGGCAACCAAACTCACTGTGGGTTCTCTTGTCTCTACCCATTTTCCAGAAATTTCTTCAAAATAAAAAGCCCAGGCTGGGCGCAGTGGCTCACCCTGTAATCCCAACACCTTGGGAGACCGTACAGAGAGGATCACTTGAGTCCAGAGTTTGAGACCAGCTTGGTCCACAGAGGAAGACCCCATCTCTACATTTTGTATTAATTAGCTGGACATGGTGGTGCACTCTATAGTCCCAGCTACTGGGGAGGCTGAGGTTGGAGGACCCCCTTCAGCCTAGGAGGTGAAGCCTGCAGCAAGCCAGGATCACTCCAGTGCACTCCAGCCTGGGTGACAGAGCAAGATCATGTCAAAAAGAAAAAAAAGGCCCAGATGCAGCTTTTCCTTCTCACATTTACCACAGTTATGCACTGCCTGTTGTCCCATTATTGAAAACAGTTATTTTATTTTACTTTTTTTTTTTTGAGGAGGTGAGGTGGGGTGTAGGTTACATTTCATCCTGTTACTCTGCCTTGGATATAATTGGAAATCCAGAGTAGTTTTTGAGAAATAATTTCTAAATTCTTTTTTTAGTTTATCAAGGGCCAAGCCTGGAAAACTCAAGTCAGAATGTATGGAAGAGAATTCTTCAACTGATTACATCTAGCCTCAGTCTCTGGTGGTAGGAGAATATGTCACCAAGAAAGAAAAGGAAAATCATGCTTCCTTGCTGAATTTGGTGAATTCTGCAAAACAAGAATGACAGTGAAAGGGAGGAGACAAAGCAGTCTGAATCATGCCTCCCAGCTTTTCCACCTGGAATTTTATCCCAGAGAATGAAAGGCATGTTGGTAAAGATGAGTTATGCACAAGACAGGGATCCATTTCACATGTAGCCCTCTATTGATGTTTTAGTGAACTTGGAAGTTCAGCCTGTCAGTCAGAGGAAAGCCTTACAAGTTACTTTCCAGTGTGACGTAGGTGGGACCCCAAGATAGCTAGAGGACTTGGCAATGAGGACGGGATGCCATCATATGGATGAAGGCGGCTCTGTCCTGGGGGCTGCAGCACTCTAGGGCTCTGTGAGCAGACCTCAGAAAAGGCTTCCTTTTGTCAGCAGGAGACAAGACCTCAGAAAAGGCTTCAGAAAAGGCCTCCTTGTCAGCAGGAGACAAGATGAGACCAAGAACAGAGATGTCGACCCAAGCTTACTAGGTCAAGAAAATGCAAATGGCATGCATGCAAGTGATAAACCTCACTGTCAATGTCAGCAGGGCTAGGAGCACCCAGATGGATAAGGAGCCACATGCCATAGATCAGAGAAGATAATCAAATTCTGGAGACACAGACTCTTTCTTCTGTTCCTGAGTTCATTTAAACCATGTCTCTTTCTTCCCACTACACACACACACACACACACACACACACACAGAAAGGGGTAGGGGAGAAAGAATGGGAAAGGAAGGTTAAGAGGCTAACTTATCCAAAGGAGATCAAACGGTGCCTGAATTACATTTAACTTTGTGTTTCTTTTTAATACATGCAAGTATAAGCATAATGCAGGGGGAGGGGCAAGGGTTTGTGAATTTCAAATGGTTTGTAAGATTTATAAACTTAGGGAGTGCCTGTGTTTTCTAAGAACTGTTAACCCAGGAGGTGGGTAGTGCAGTTTCCCCACCTTCCTATCATGTCTAAAAGACACGAGATTTTTTGAAGCACCAGATGTTAGAATGTACTGCCTAAAACTATCAGTGAGCCCAAGACTAGAGAGATGTGATTAGGGCACCATGTGAGACTCATGATGAACATCTTCTGGTTTACCATTCTTCC
The DNA here is from genome assembly GCF_000001405.40 of Homo sapiens. NCBI lineage: Eukaryota > Metazoa > Chordata > Mammalia > Primates > Hominidae > Homo > Homo sapiens. Next base: position 239,673,030 of record NC_000001.11, read on the forward strand.
TACATGAGACAGAAGCAGCACCCCCAAATTAGCTTCGGTTTCTTCAAATGCACGTTCTTCCTGCCCAGCAGAAGACAGAATGGCTTCCCGGAGCTGGAGAACGTGTCTGGGCCATGGCCTGATGCCTTCAAGCAGAGAATGAAGGAGTGGGAGAATTCTGCAGCTCAGTTCTTTTCTTTAGCTCCGTCCTTGTCCAGAGAATGGGGTAGGAATGGGATGGAGGGAAGGTGAGAAGGTGAAATGTGCAATGCAGAGTGGAAGATTGCTGATCACGCGTTTAAAGTCATATGCAATAGCAATTCTGTCAACAAATCTTCCTATTATTGTAATCTTTTTTCCCATTAACTCTTGTTATTATAAGAAATTGATTTTCATCATACTCTCTAAGTGTCTCTCCTTCACCCCTCCTCCAATATCAAATAGTTAATAAAGTAACAAAATAATATTGTATATGCTGGAAACTATTTAACCATGCAAACACATATATCAGCTATGTTTGCTTTTTATTTCTGTGTCTATATTTTCATTCAACGTATATTTTAATGGGTATAATTTAATAGTACATTATAAGAATGAGATTATGATTTTAATGTATTTATAATTACTCTGCCCTAGAACAACTAATTTCTTTTTTTTCTGAGCATCCTTTTAGTTTTCATTAACATATATATAGTATCTATTTATCATCAGAGCATATAATTTTATATTCTGCTTTTGTTATCATTTTCCTTGTTGCTACCTATTTATCACTTATGGCTACTTAATGCACCATGCAATTTCTATACCTACATTTTCTTAAATGCTTTCCTGTTCGATACACAAATAGTTTCTATTATTCACTATTATAAATACAGATCAGCAACCCTAATCTAAAACACTCCAAATCTAAAACACTCCAAAATCTAAAACACTCCAAAATCCAAAACTTTTTGAGCACCAACATGACACTCGAAGGAAATGCTACCTGGAGCATTTCACATTTTTGGATTTTTCGGTTAGGAATGCCCAACAAGTACAAATATTCCAAAATCTGAAAAAATCAGAAACCTGAAACACTTCTGATCCCAAGCATTTCAGATAAAGAACACTCAACCTGTAATGTTACGGTGATCATTTTCCTAGGAACGCCATTTTTTTGACTTTAAATTATTTCCGTGGAATAATTTGTGAGTGGGATTACTAGGTCCACAGATATGAATATATTTAAGGACTCTTAATATAGGTATGGGTCAGACTGGTGATTTGATGGGCTGTACATATTTATAGGACCACTAGAAAATATAAATTTATTAGTTCTTTTTGCAAATGTCATCTTCATTTTTTGTTCATTATACTTGCAGTTAATGTACATTGTACTTACCATTTGACCATTAGTGTGGCTTAATTAGCAAAATCACTGGCTGGGCGCGGTGGCTCATGCCTGTAATCTCAGCACTTTGGGAGGCCCAGGCGGGGGGATCACGAGGTCATGAGATCGAGACCATCCTGGCTAACACGGTGAAACCCCATCTCTACTGAAAATACAAAAAAATTAGCTGGGCTTGGTGGCGGGCGCCTGTAGTCCCAGCTACTCTGAAGGCTGAGGCAGGAGAATGGTGTGAACCTAGGAGGCAGAGCTTGCAGTGAGCCAAGATTGCGCCACTGCACTCCAGCCTGAGCGACAGACTGAGACTCCATCTCAAAAAAAAAAAAAAAAAAGAAAGAAAAATCACTTAAGTATCAGACAAGCAATTCAAATCCCAACTCAGGCCATTTCCTGTTGTATGCTAAGTGGATGAGCCTCTCACAAAAATAATTTTTTCAATGGTAAATTGGCAACAATGGTGTCTCCTTTACAAGACTGTTGAAACGATTTGGTGAATTAATCAATACCTGGTGTGTTCGTGGCCATACAGGAAATTATTACTCCTCCTCGCTGTCTCTGCTTCTCTAATTTTATCTACCTTCCCTCCCACTCCTGACTTCTTCTTGCATGGATTATCCATTCGAGTTCTTTTGATACAAGGTTTTCTAGACTCCATTTTCTCATGCCAGAATTTATGTTAATAGGGGTCAATTATCAATGTTCTCTAGAAACCTGATCTCTCAATAGCAAGTGCTTAATTAGATTGCAAATCACTGAGGTCACTTCTGTTCACCCTGTGAGTTTTCTTGTGTTCACCCAACCAAATGGGAAGTACATTCAGAATAAATACATTTTCATAAATTGCTCATTTTTGAATGCTTCGTACAGTCCAATTTCTCTTTTAAAAATCTTATCCAAGCTTGTGCCCATTAGGTTTCTCAGAGACTTTTTGACTTGTTTTTCTGCTTCTTTGTCTTGGTTTCAGATAATACTTCAGTTTAATCTTCTATTTGTTGCATCCTACCCAAGAACAACAAGCTTAATTCTTGTGATAACAAGTGTAGTTTGTCAAGAATTGCAAGACAAGACCATTGCTAGAAGTTACATTTTGGAATGGTACTGCCATTTGGATTTTGTCTGTCTCATACCCAGTGTCTGTTTTCTAGGCATTATTGCTCATTGTTGTCTGGAAATTGGTTTTTATCTTGAGGGAATTTGTAGCAGAAACTGTCTTTGAAAGCAATCACTCTTCTTTAAAGCCAAAAGTAATTTCTAATATGTTATAAGGTATCAGAAAGCCTGTAACAAGCATACAGTTTTTCAATTGGAAAAGCATTAAAAATATCAAATTCTATCCTCTTTCATGAGGGTGAGGCAGTTTGGGGGCTGCCAAAAGATTTTCTAGTCTCTCACCTTCATGATAAGATATTGAGCTGTGTAGGAAATATTCTAAGCAGTTCCACTTTAGGAGTTTAAAAGAAAACATGGGAGGGAGGGAAAAGGAAGGTAAAAAATTCCTCTGCAATCTTCCCAGCTTCAGCAACTGTATTTCACAACTCTGGAGAATCCCAGAGGCTCCTTTAGATATTATTTTACATGAGCCTTCTCTCATTAAGTGTCAGAGAGAAGGTTTCTTCCTTTTTGCATTTTTAAGCCTGCTTTCCCCGCATATCCATGCCCACTATCCCTGTTTTCGCCTGTTACAAATGAGTGCTAGCTTCTTTTTCTACCTGAATAGACAAGACAGTTCTAACTTCTTGTCAGCATCAAAGACCCTTGCCCCAGACGCTGCACCAGCAAAGTTACTAAAGTACTAAGGATTTCAGAGGTGGACATCACAAGGCTTGAGAGAAGCTCATAGATAACAATTAAGTCTGCAGGGGAAATTTGAGGATCATACACAGCTGGATTCAGACAGAATGACCAGTTTTTCTGTAGTTGCTGGACAGTACAAAGTAGCCTGCCATGCCTGCCATGTGTATTACAGAGAAGTCTATTATTGAAACTCACAAGGTGAAAAAATGTGGACCTGATCATAGTTGAGTGTGTCTGCCCCATGCTTGCATTTATGATATTGGAAACAGGAAGGGTGAGATTGGAAACAGTCCATTTCTGCCCAGAGCCCACTCTGCAGCATGTAACAGCAAAGCATTCACTGTCAAGAAATAGTGTATATCATGGTCATACCACATTCATCATTGTGCCACACTTAACTTCTTCAAGAACCCTGGCATCACAGCTCTCCTTGTGTTGTAAGGGGGACTGGCCCCAGTTTTAGCCACTACTCCAAGGCTGCACAAATCACCCTGTGGTATTGGGCAAGCTCCTTAACCTCAGTTCCCCTAGCACATGGTAGGGGTGAACTTACACTGCCCAACCTGTAGGGAGATTGTGAAACCAGAATGAGATAATGTGTGCAAATGATTTCGGGACGAGTTTCAAATTCTGAAAATTCTTGGGGTGTATGCTTTCATTTGTACAGTTAATCTGATTTGCAGTCATTTAAATCTATAAAAGGATGTTCTGCCACATCGTGTGCATAAGTTTGATTTTCCTCCTGTTGTTCTGAGCCCCCACTGGGGCAGCTTTCAGAACATGCCATTCCCCTTCACAGCCTCCTGCATGGGAGCATGACGGCTAGATCTCTTTCTCCTCCCTCCCCATCCCATTTCCTTTTGTCTGCCCATCACTCTCCTACACTGCATACAAGACTCAGGTTAAAGACCCCCTGCTCTGTGATGTCACCCTCTTACCTAACTCTCTGCTCCTTGAACTGGCAATGATTTAGCTTTCCACATCCTGAATGGGGGTGATCTACATCTAACTTGGCCTCTTTCCCTCATTAGACTTGGCTTTTTGAGAACAAGACCAAGCCTCTACTTAATATTTTAACCCAATACCTGCTTCATATTATTTGCTTAGTAAATATTGATCAAAATGATGAGTGAATGTCAAATACTTGTTGCCATGAAATAAGTTGAATCGGTAAAGTGGGTGATTCTTAAATTATTTGCCATAAAACATTAGGGGGAACTCATACCTAGTTGCGTCTTTTTTTGTGCTGCTATAACAAAATACCACAGACTGGGTAATTCACAATCAACAGACATTTATTGCCTTGCAATTTTGGGGGCTGGGAAGTCTAAGATCAAGGCACCGGTATCTGGCCTTCTTGCTGAGTCACCACAAAGCAGAATGCTGTGTCTTCACATGGCAGAAGGCAGAAAAGCAAAAGAGGAAAAGAGGGAGAAGGGAGACACAGTCAACGTTTTGTACAGCATTCTCCCACCCATGAGGTCACAGCCCTCATAGCTTAATCACCTCTTAAAGGTCCCACCTCTTACTACTGTGACACTGGCAATTACATTTCAGTATGAGTTTTGAAAAGGACAGTCATTCTATACAAAACCATAGCAGCTTTATATCAACCTAATAATATAAATGTCTGTATGTTATGTGTACATATTTTTGGGGGAAGCTTATAAAATACTGCCAATTATTGGAAGTTTCTGAGGGCAGGTGACCATATGACAGAAACCATAAGCTGAGGCATTTGTGTTGAACAGGAGGTTACAGCATCTCATTGTTTCCCCAGTAACTGCTGTGGATCGCGCCCTCAGCGGGATACTAACAGGTGTCATAGAATAAAATAATTTCTTGATGAAGTATATTTGGAAATGCTGGGATAAATCTCCATTTTTGAAATCTATCATGTAATTAATATTCCATCTCACAATTCAGTGATCTGAGTGTACTACTTGTTGTTCTTTTATCTTATTTTAAACTTACCCCTTCCCTGTTTCATTTTTAGGTTTTGCTGTGGCGTGGCACCTGGTCTCTTTCTAGAAGGAAAGTTCAACATACAGCACAATTCTGGACACATTGTATTGGTTTGATGCTCCTACCTGGAACAGGTATGTAAATCTCCAGTACATGATTACTGACATTTTTGAATCATAACTATGGATGTATATTCATTCCTGTGGATTGCTAAGAATGGAATCTGCTCTGAACAATTAAATTCATGTGTCAGCGATGACTGTCTTTTCTACTTAGAAGCATGTGTTTATATTTTGGCATCCACAACTCCTGAAGACTACTTCATTATCTTGGTTATATGATAAGCTCAAATTAAGAATATAGCCATTCAAAGAGAGAGGAGAAAGTATACACTTATATGGTTCTGAAAATAATAAGAATTATCCAGAAATCTATGGAAATCAAATGATGAAATATGACTGATACTCTGGTATGTTATAAGTGTAGTATCTGTAGTCCAAAATTCTTACAGAAAAACATCGACTTCTTTCCCCTCCCCAAATTAGTCCAGGCTTAGAGAAAACTGTGTAACAACTCACAGGATAAAAATGACTACATATGTGAATTAATTAATAGAATTAGATCAATTAATTGACTACTCAAACACTAAGATTTTGTGACAGTTATTCCCTTCATGTATGCCAACATAAATATTACATAAAAACAAAAAATATGCTGTTTGATAATATTAATGTTTAATGAATTCTCTTGAAGGATATTCTGAAAGTAGATTCTCACTATATATAAATATGTCAGCCTGTAGCTTCTGTCTAATTCAGACTTACTTGGATGAGCACTGTTTGTGAGTATGTAACATAGATAGGTAGATAGATGGATAGATAGATAGATAGATAGATAGATAGATATAGACATAGGTATGTCACGACACCTATTACATAATATATGCATGTGTGTGTTTGTATATATAGTATGCAATGACTAAGGGATACTTTATTACAAGATTGATTGCTTACTTGTATGCAACTTTTTAAAATATTATTAAAAATATAGCAGGCTTGTTGAAATACTTATAAATATTTGGAAAAGTGCCCCATAAATTCTATTTTCAACAGGAAAACTACATAACAACTCACCTGCCTCTGCCTCCTCCCCTGCCCCCATCAGAAGTATGTTGAAAATGAAGTTTGGGAAATTGGGAAGTAGCACAGAGGATAATTAATCAGGTGTGAGCTCAAGACCTAACTCTACTACTTAACAATGGCCTTGGGAAGGTTTCTGTACTTCCTTGGGAAGTGCGTTATTATTTAAATCTGAACAGGAGGGAGGGAGAGTGAGAGAGAGTAGATAAATTCACCTCTAATTGCAATGTCCCAAATGTACCAGGTCACGTTTATTCTTAGAGATGTATGAAGTAATTAACAGATGTGTTTCTAAGGTTTTCCAAAGAGTTCTACTTTTACATTCTGTGAGAGTCTGAAATCCATGATTAGAGATTAATGTCCCTGATTTAAGGCAGAAATTGCAACTGGTCATCTGCTTGTCAGATCCACCTTAGTTCGTTTATTTTATTATTTATTTTGGGCCTACACAAATTTGTATGCATGATAACTAAGAAATTGCCAAATCAAAAAATCAGGACAGTTCACATAAAAATCTGGATTCCCAGTCTTCTCTTTCTCTGTAAATGGTCAGAAATTCTTCCTCTTAATTTCTGCGTCTAACCCATCCAGTCCTTCACAGTCCGCTCTGAGCCCATAGGTCTCAACCTTCACTGTGAAGAGATACTGGTTCTCCGGCTTCACCGCAGAAGATTAAATCAACACCTCTCAGGGTGGACCGCGGGCTTCAGAATTTTTTAAAGTTCCTCAAATTATTCCATTGTGCAGCCACTGCCCTAATACCTTCCCTTCTCTTTGTGTAAAAACATCTCCCAAGTCCAAGTCACATACATCACTTCCTCATCTCACCACTCTTCTCTGATGTCCCTAAATCATCTTATTTCTATTCTTGTCCTGTTCAATCCGTGCTTCATCCAATAGCCAGAGTAATTGTCTTTATAGAAAATATCTGGTTGACTCCTGCTTCACCATCTTCAATAATAATAGTAATAATAATAATAATTTAGGGTGATCATTTATACTAGGTTGAATGAAGAATCTGACTTCAGTCTTTGTTGAAGGATTGAGTCATTGAAGCATTAAATTTTAGGAGCAAATGGAAGAAGACTACAAAAGCTGTAGCAGTACCTTCTGCTTGGTCTTCTCCTCCCAGAAGTGACCCATAGTGATCCTTAGGCCAAAAGTAATTCACAAGTATAGAAATGACAGACATTGTTTACCTATCCAACAGATTGCCACCCAATCAGGGTCCTGATTGCACCTTACATAGGATCAAAGGGATGTTGTAATTTGGTAGTGACACTACGATAAGATTAATTTTATGTCACAGCTACCAAAGTGTGTTAAATGTCTCTCCTTCCTAAGTTGTATGATTCAGCCAACAAAATTTGATATGGGTGAATTTTTAGGCAGAATAACAGAATTTGGTGTGTGCATGTGTGTGTGTGTGTGTGTGGTTGGAGTGCTTGTGGCTGAGGTCTTTTCTCCTTCTGCTCAGACATGTAGATGACCTTCCTTCCCACTAATGAATAACATTTTATTTGAACTGCGGAGGAGACTTTTTTTTTTCTCCTAAGTGACCTTATAAACCATTTGTATTAGTTTGTTTTCATGCTACTGATTAAGACGTATCCAAGACTGGGAAGAAAAAGGGGTTTAATTGGACTTACAGTTCCACATGGCTGGGGAGGCCTCAAATCATGGCGGGAGGTGAAAGGCACTTCTTACATGGCAGCAGCCAGAGAAAAATGAGGAGGAAGCAAAAGCAGAAACCCTTGATAAACACATCAGATCTCATGAGACTTATTCACTATCACAAGAATAGCACAGGAATGACCAGTCTCCATGATTCCATTACCTCCCCCTGGGTCCCTCCCGCAACACGTGGGAATTCTGGGAGATATGATTCAAATTGGGTTTTGGGTGGGGACACAGCCAAACCATATCACCATTGTTTTAGCCACTGAAATCTTTACTGTAGACTCTTATGCCCATGGTTACATTTCCCATGGGAAGGGAAGAAGATAAGGTGTCATAAGAAAGTTTTCTTCAGAAAAGTTACCTTTGCAGGTATTTTAATTGGGATTTATAAAGACCTTCATAAATTCAAACCACATTGAAGCTAAGTGGAAATTTGGGTCTGTGCCCACATCCCTGGTGCATGGCACAATCACTATTTTATCCTGTCTTCAACATGAAACCATCAGTGTTTACACCATCAGTGTAAAAATGATCAGTGAAAGACTATAAAAAAGATCAAGCCTCTGTGTTTAAAAACGTAGCTAAAAACATGTATATGACATTCAAGTAACTGAGACCAATAAAGATGTTATAAATTAGTCTGGGTACAGTGGCTCATGCCTGTAATCCCAGCACTTTGGGAGGCCAAGGTGGGAGATTCAGTTGAGACCAGGAGTCGAGACCGGCCTGAGCTGAACGTAGTGACATCCTGTCTCTACATAAAAGAAATTTAAAAATTAGCCTGGTGTGGTGGTGCACACCTGTAGTCCTAAATACTTGGGAGGCTGAGGTGGGAGGATGGCTGGAGCCCAGGAGTTTAAGATGACAGCGAGCTATGATCATGCCACTGCACTCCAGCCTGGGAGCAATAACTGGTCTCAAAAAAAAAGAAAGATGTTATAAGGTGTTGAATCAACATGTGAGGCATGGTTACCTTCTTTATTCTAAATTATTTTCATCAGCAAAGCTAAAGTGTGTTTGCAGATCTAATTTATCCAAATAATATGCCCGTGCAGGGCTGTTCTGTGTTTAAAAAAACAGCTGATCTTTTAAGCTTCCTCTTAAATATTTATTTTGGAATAAAAATGGGGGCCAAAATACAGAGACACACAAACATACACACACTGAGCATCTCTAGAGGCACATTAAGGAACAGTGTTTATTAATGAGATGTCTTTGTGTTTCCTTTTGGGATCAAGATGGACTGGCCTCGTGTACAATTCTTCTCCTTCGTGAATAGAGCTGTAATGAGGTCACAGATTCCTTTCAAGCCATTTTAGGAATTTCTTTGAAAGGATTCAGGCAGCGATATCCCTTATATGTTAGAGTTGTACATTAGTACAGGCAGAGCTTTTCAACTAATGTAAAGCACCATTTTTTTCTTCTAAATTCCTTATATTCTTGAATGTCTGGGTTCAGAATAAAGGCAAATTAAAATCTCTGAAAAATCCATCATTTTGCCACTACATGGAAGAGCTACTGGGAGAGAAATTAATAGTATCTGAAATTAACCTTGGATTAAGCTTACTTCATCTTGAATTTTCTACTATTTGTTTTATTTGCTATTAACTCCCTTTAATCAGAGAGTTTCCGTAAAACTGACATGCTATTGGTTAGGATTCATTAAAAAAAAAACTGACGTAAAATATAAATATGCCCTCTGTTTATTATATGGCAGATACAACATGGACACTTGGTAATTTTGAGTTGATTGTTAAGGTTTGTATTATTTTATGTTAATACAACAAATGCTTCAAAAATATATGTTTGTTAATGTCTACTTACTGTTTAGCAAAATTTTTTTGTATCTGTTATTTCTCTGGCACCTTTCATTGACTTTTTGTTTTTAATTGACACGTAATAATTGTACATATTTATGGGGGTAAAGTGTGATGTTTGGATACATGTGTACATTGTATAAAAATTTAATTAGGCTATTTAGCATATCATGTCACCTCATTTATTTGCAGTAAGAACATTCAACATCCTCTCTTCTAGCTACTTTGAAATAGACAATACAGTATTGTTAACCACAGTCACCCTACTGTGTTATAGAACATCAAGACTCATTCCCCCTTTTTAAGTGTTACTTTGTACACGTTGACCAACGTATTGACTTTTGGGTGTGATTATTTTGGAACAAAAGATGTATTCTCCCAACATCCTCAATGCTTAGGCCATATTAGACTTAGGTAAATATTTGTGGAATGAGTAAATGAATAATTCACATCCAATGCATTTTTATTTTAAACACAAGCAGATGAAATTATACCAAATCTAGGAAGTGACTTAACCAATGAACTAGATACATGAAGTAATGAGCAATAAAAATGGTAATTCATCAGATTAGAAGACTATATCTGGTGTGCTCTGCTGAAGCAGAGAGAGAGAGACATCGTTTTTAAAGGATTTGGACAAAGTCAAAGGGCCAAAATAGCTAATACTTTTATTAGCAGCTCATCTAGATTTTATTCAGGCATAACTGCCCAAACCTTTTCTTTTCACCATTATTTTCATCTTTAAAGTCTTTTTTACTTTTTTCTGCCATATTAAGGAGATGTGCTAGGTCTAAAGATTCCTAATCGAGGCCTCTTATCTTTAACAACTTTGCTAGAGTCATGTGGACAAACATTAAGAGATAAAATTCGACAGCATCTCTGCAAACTCTAGTCTGGTATAGAAACAGCTCTACTTGTGAACAGCTGAATAGCTTCTGAAGTCATCCAGTCAGGTAATATATTACCTAAGTAAACTTTCTAAGAAGCATTTGGATCATTCTCTTGCCTCTATTTTTCTATGAAATCTCTGACTTTTCTTGGCAAAGCTTAAACCCAGTTAAAGATGATATGCTATATATTGCTTCACTTTTGCATTTTAGAAAAAAAAAAGATGGTCCAAAGCAATAGGATGATCTTAGCAATAATATAAGCTTTTCACATGTCAAATTATTTTTCTCAGCAATTGTGAAATTTCACTTTGAAGTTAAATTACATTCTCCAGTATAACAACATACTGTGCCTCAGGGAATAAGTAATTCATGTATTTAGGATTCCTAACCCATATTCCCGTGTGGGAGAAGATTTTTTAAACAAACCAATTTTTTACCAGAATAAAACCATGGGTGGTTCAGTGGTAGAATTCATGCCTGCCACCACAGAACAATTAAGTAAGTTGTTTCCCCTTTAATCTGCTTGACTAATTTGCTGTTACAGGGCACTGCTATGGCCCAGTCCCTGGGTGAGTCCCCTAACAGGTATTGATGCAGACTTTCTGGCATGCACAGGACAGTCCCCCACAACAAAGAATTATCCAGACCCAAATGTCTCAGGGATTGCCTTAAGGATGATACTGGGTAATCCCTGAAAGTTTACAAATGCAAATAAGAAAGGAAGGTGTATGGGCTGGGCACAGTGGCTCACGCCTGTAATCTCAGGACTTTGGGAGGCCGAGGAGTGCGGATCACTTGAGGTCAGGAGTTCGAGACCAGGCTGGGCAACATGGTGAAACCCCATCTCTACTAAAAAATGCAAAAAAATTAGCCGGGCATGTTGGCGCTAGAACCTGAGAAGCAGAGGTTGCAGTGAGCTGAGATCATGCCACTGCACTACAGCCTGGGCAACAGAGCGAGATTCCGTCTCAAAAAAAAGAAAAAAGAAAGAAAAAAAGGAAGGAAGGAAGGAGAGAGAGAGAGAGAGAGGAAAGAAGAAAGGAAAGGAAAGGAAAGAGAGAAAGAAAGAGAAAGAAAGAAAGAAAGAAAGAGAAAGAGAAAGAAAAGAGAAGAGAAGGAAAAGAAAAGAGAGGATGGCATATGGAGAGAGGATGAGAATTTTCTGGGACAGTGGATGGAGAGAGTGAGATTGGAGATTGGAGGGGAAAAGATAAGAATAGGGGGTGTTTGTAGGTGAACCAAAAGCACCTGTGTGAGGACATGTATTTAAAAGTAAACAAAACAGAAACAAAAATAAAATCAGCAGAAAAACCTCTCCCTTGCATCTTCTTCTGTATCCTCTCTTGCTCTAGGCCCACTCACCATGTCACTGGAATTCCCTGTTCTTTAACCTCTGCCTACCTTCTCTGATTTCACAGGGCATTTCGGCTTTAATGAATATCACGATTCATGACACATGTTATGGCTTTGTCTTACTCTGCAACTGTTTCTGTTCTCCCAGCCACAGAACTCCAGCCGGGACCTGGGTGGCTCTATAATTTGAGGAAAGGTATTTAAATTCTCTGAGCTTCAGTTTCTTCATCTGTAAAAGTAAAAATAGTCATATATTCTTCCCGGGAGTTTTGTGAGGAATAAATGAGTATCCACCACAAAGCAAGTACTTCTTAAATATCATATTATCTCCCCAGTTCACTATTAGTGGCAATTCATTGGTTTTCTTACAAGAAGGGGGTTGTAACCCATAGTCGTTTGTATTCTGCCATGCACTTCTCCAAACATTATAGTACAAACAAAGCAATAATGAGAAGTTCCTGCTCCTCTCGTGCATTGGGTTGTGGTACCTCTCAAAACTGTGTTCTGGACCAGGTGCAGTGGCTCACATCTGTAATCCCAGTCCCTTGGGAGGCTGAGGTGAGCAGATCACCTGAGGTCAGGAATTCGAGACCAGCCTGGCCAACATAGTGAAACCCCATCTGTACTAAAAATACAAAATTAGCTGGGTATGGTGGTGTGTGCTCATAGTCCCAGCTACACGGGAGGCTGAGGCAGGAGAATTGCTTAAACCCAGGAGGCGGAGGTTGCAGTGAGCTGAGATCGTGCCATTGCATGCCAGCCTGGGCAACAGAGCAAGACTCCATCTCAAAACAAACAAACAAACAAAAAATAAGAACAAAAAACAAACAAAAAAAACTGTGTTCTGTCATTGACTCCCTGTCACTGCCTCCTGCCATTGTTGCCTTCTCATCTCAACTGAATGATGGGCAACAGAGCAAGACTCCATCTCAAAACAAACAAAGACAAAAACAAAAACAAACAAACAAAAAAACTGTGTTCTGTCGTTGACTCCCCATCACGCCTCCTGCCACTGGTTGCCTTCTCATCTCAACTGAATGACTCTAATATGCTCTTTAATAGTCTCCTTCATGATCTTTCTACCATCAGTTTTGTCTCACATTAATTTCTCCTCTGCACTGATTCCAGAGTAATCTATAATTTTAAAAAAATGGACTTCTGTTACTCACTACCTTAAAAACTCTTGATTCCATGGTGCCTATAGGCGCTTTGTTCTATAAACTTATCATAAAACAGCAGAGTTTCTATGGGAGCTCATCTGAAGCTGTTCCCTTCTGTGAATCATATGTTCCACTGCTCCAGTATTTTATGATTTTCTGGGAATTATCTAAACAGTATACTTGCATGTGCTGCTCATCCTGCCTGGACTACACAGAGCCCTCTTTCCTGGGAAATTGGTGTTCACCTTCAAGACTCAGATCCAGTGTCACCTGTTCAGTGATGCCTATCCCTCCTTCTGCTCACCCTTCCCTGGGCAGAGTTAAAAGTTCTCCATGTCTTTCCCCAGAGCCCTTCCTTCATATTTACGCAGAATTCACCACTCTGCACTATACTTTATCAATTTCATTTATTGCTACTCCTCAGACTGTGAGTTCCTTGAGGACTGGAATCCTCACCATATTCATCATAGTACTTTGTCCCTAATGGCAGTGCAAAGTGGTCACTGAATAAATGCTTTCTGGTTGAATTTTAACGGATCCATGAATTTCTTGATTTATCATCATTTTACAGCTAGGGAAATTATGCAATCAACTAATTTGCTCCACATTCTGGAGCATTCAGAAAGATCAGCAGAGAGTTTCATTAACTTGAACTGCTACTGACTGCCCCATTCACCTGTTGGAAGAAAGTTCAAATAGAGAAAAATGTAATATACCTGCTTTCTAAGATTTTAATAGCTTTAATAACAGGGAATGGCATTCAATTTACTTCATATTATTAACATAAGTGCTTTAAAATATATGATGCTCTCTTAAGAAAAATAGCTATTACTTAATATCAAATGTTATCCATTCATTCAATATGTATTGATTGTCTTAATATATGTAAGATTATCTATTACATTATTATTTTATTGATACTATATTTTAATAATAATAAAATAATAATATGCTTGGAAAAATAATAAAATGGTAGCTATGTCCTTTGATGTCCAAGAATAATTGATCCATTTTTACTAAGAATATTTGTACAAGTTTTATATTTGATTTATCACTTTAGTTTATTTGTTAATAACTCATTTTAATGGCAGCCCCTGCCACTTTTGTAACTCTGGTGGTGGTTCAGAGATTATTCATTAGCATGCTTTATAAGTGATAATATTCCAGGGCAATATCATGTAGTATTGCTAATCCGTCGTTATTTATCAGAGCATCATGGTCTTTCTGAGTGAATTAGATCATATTGATAGTACTTAGAAATACTAAAATTAATCATTAACTTACTGCATAGTTAATTCCATTCTTTTTAAGTTTCAAACTCTTTAACATTGAACAAATTTAACAAATTTGCCATATGTACATTATGAGGTCATAAAAACATGCCTTTATTAATATAAATGTGACATGTTTTAACCAGGGACAGTTAAGAAAATATTCATTAGAGTTTACACACATAGCCACGTGCTGCATAATGATGCTTCAGTCAAAGGCAGACCACAATAGAACAGTGCTCCCATAACATAATAACTACTGTTTCTATGTTCAGATATGTTTAGATAGCACAAATACCATTGTGTTACAATTGCCTACAATACTCAGTATAGTAATATGTTGCATAGGTTTGTAGCCTAGGAGCAATGGGCTATCCCATATAACCTAGGTATGTAGTAAACTATGCCATCTAGGTTTGTGTGAGTACCCTCTATGATGTCCACACAATAATGAAATTACCTAATGACACATTTCTTAGAACATGTTAATGTCGCTAAGTGATGCATGGATGTATGTTCTTACCACCATCAAATACGACTGCTCTTAAATGTGTCATGAATACTGATGCTTCACATTAATACACAAAACTGCTCTTAAGGTAGTTGCCAGCCTGAAAAAAATTGGGAGTTTTGATACTTTGTTACTTTTTCTTTTAATATATTGCAAGGTTTTTCACTGATCTATTTGCAGAAGGAAAAAAATACATATATATAATATACACATACACATACACATGTATTATATATAAAACACATGCACATATATGTATTATATAATCTATTATTAAATAATATATAATACATATATACACATATATATGTATATGTGGGTATTTTATATATATGTACGTATAGATATTTGTGTGTGTTTGTGTGTGTGTGCATATATATTCCCGTTAATTTGAAAGCATTGTTTTGGGTTTTAAATATATAAATATAAATATGTATATAAATATATATAAATATATTTACATATCATATTTATAAATATATTATATTATATATTATATATTATTCAATATACTATAATATATATTATATATGTTTAATACAATATATAATATTTACATATATTCCCATTTATTTATATAACATATATTATATGATATTATATATTACTCCATATAATATAATATATTATACATAATATATTACTCAGTATAATACATAATATATATAATATATTACTCGGTATAATATATAATATTATATGTTATGCAATATAATATATAATATTATATATAATACATTATTCAATATAATATATAATATTATATATAATACATTATTCAATATAATATATAATACACTATTCAATATAATATACAATATTATATATAATACATTATTCAATATAATATATATTATATAATATATATATTTATATATTTTATTTTTATATATTATATATTTATATATGTATATATAATATACATTTCTAAATTATTTTAAGTCATTTTGTATTCTTAGGATAGTTAAACTTGCCCTGCAATCTTATTTATTTCCTTGCTTTTCATATACAATGAAAGTGTATATGACTTTGGCTTGCAGTATTATGATAAATTCACCATTGATTAAGTCATAATTAAAGATTGCTATTCAAAGATTCAAAAATTAAAGATGGTAATTAAAGTATACTACCTTCTTTCTAATACAATACTACTACATTTATTTACAAATTCTCTAACCCTTTCTATGGGAGTTTTCAATAACAATTAGAGTAAAAATGTGATTTGTTTTAATGTTAATAATCACTAATCTTTTTTGTTGAAAAATATAGGATGAGATTTTTCTCAGTTTACTTTTTTTTCAGAGAAGGATTCTATATTGAAATGTCAAAAATGTAAGATGCAGGAGGATAAGGAACCAATGTTGCCTTAGCTTTGAGTACTTCCTTTGTGCACGCAGAAAGACTGACATTCAAATTTAGGCTAAATGTTGCTTACATAAAGGAATGAAAAAATGAATAAAAATATAAATTTCTCTAAAGTATTTTTTAATAAGAGTTAAAAGGATTACAAAATAGCAGCGTTTGTGAAATAGATTTTTAATATTGCTGCACATTAGAAAACATACAGTTATGCCTCAAATGTATTCAACTTATGTTGGAGGAGGGATTTCGTTTACTTCCACAACTTTGCACTACGTCTTCAGAGAGTTTGCTTTCTCTTTCTCAGAGATCCTAACAGCGGGATATCTATTGACTGCATATTCTGTGCCAAACATTCTTTTAGGCATTGATGCTAACACAGCAAATAAAACGGAAAAGCCTGTGCCTTTGTGGAGGTTATATTCTGGTAGAGGAAGGTGTAAAGTACTAGGATACACATGTAGATATTCCGTGTCCAGGGTACGGATTTCAGTCAGCAGCTGTCCAATTAGGGGAGATTTGGGAATATACCATGTTATTTTATGCCAATTCAAAGCCTGGGAAGAGGCAAGATTGCCCAGGGAGATCACATGGAGTGAGAGGAGGTAAGAACTCTAGGACTGCCCATGCTTCTGAGCCCATAACATCCCAGAACACGCTTAAAGGATCACTTGACACTAAAACAGAGAGAGAGAGACAGAGAGAGAGACACAGAGAGAGAGAGAGAGAGAGACAGAGAGAGTTGTTGGGTGGAGTTCTCCTTTTCTTCAAAGGCAATACATTCTCCTTCTGCCATACCATCCAGAATTTCATGGATTCACATTTCAATTTATTTCTCCAACTTTGTATGAGAGCAAGTTTTTGGAGATATAATACTTGAAATTTCTTTTCATTTATTTTATTTTATTTTAGAGACAGAGTCTCTCTGTCACCAGGCTGGAGTGACGGGATCTCGACTCACTGCAACCTCCGCCTCCCAGGTTCAAGCAATTCTCCTGCCTCAGTATCCCGAGTAGCTGGGGCTACAGGCGTGCACCACCACGCCCAGCTAATTTTTAAATTTAATTTTAGTTTTTTAGTAGAGACGGGTTTCACCACGTTGGCCAGGATGGTCTCGATCTCCTGACCTCATGATCAGCCCGCCATAGCCTCCCAAAGTGCTGGGATTACAGGTGTAAGCCACTGCACCCGGCCCTGAAATTTCTAAATGAATCCCAGCTAGGCAAAATAATCACCAAGAAAAGGGGCTACATTAACATAAATTGAGCATATTTAACACAAATTACTTTCTCATCTTAAGAAAAAAAAATTACTTAAAAATAGGACTATATTTGTCAAAATTTACCCCTTATATGGAAATTCACAATAATTTTCTTCTCTGCTTGGGAAAAGATCATCATTTAAAAGAGCTGCATATGGTTGTTTTTGTTAGTATTCCAAGAAATTCAGGATGTTTGTGTGATATGTAGTGGCTGAAAAATTTTATATATATATATATTTCTGATTCATCTGCTTGTAACAAAGTACCTAAATGTATATATAGTGATCTGAGGAGACAGGATCCAGTGGGTTAATGAGCAATGGCAAAGGATTTGAGGTTGAAGTGATGTTGATGTTTGGACCCCAGCTGCGGGTAGCAGAACAGCAGATACCTTTGGTTAGCTGTAACCATTAGCTATTGGTCTCTAGGCTGGACCAAGGGAAGCAAAGACCTTATATCACTCAGGAAATTTTGCTGGACTCTAATGGGAGGCGTCATGAGCTGAGCTCTTCCTGCTGCTGGGGGAATCCAGGAGCAGTCCCATTCAGGTCACCAGACCCCCATGGTCACAGAGTGAGAGCTGGGCAGTGATGGGCTTCAAGGGCAAATTTAAGATTTTCAGGAAGCAGCTGGCTTTTATTTGAAACTTGCAGGATCCCTTCAGACATATAAAAAGAGATACTGGTAAGTGCAGTGAAGAACTTGCAATGGTTGGGTTGTGAGAGTAATTTTTACAAATATTATGGTTCTGCCTTGGTGTTTGCTCAAAGAATTTTACCTCACTCAACATGTTGTTAGAACATTTTCCTGATTCCTACAAAAAAAAAAGAAAGAAAATATTTTAAAGGTCAGAAGCTACAAGCTTTTCATCATTTAGCCAAGACACATCGATAATATAGTCTATGTATTCAGTTTAAACAAAATGTCAACTTGCGAGAGTAACTATCAAGCTGTTACCTGAAGACAGATTAGAATTATATGAAGCTGTGGCCCTCACGCCTATCTGGAGATCTTATCATATAGTTATTCATCAGTTTTAAATGTTATATATTGTTCCTACGGAGAAAACAGCCACTCATAAATTTAAATGAACTCTAAATGTTTTATGTGTTATTAACCTTTTTTTCCTCAGTCGTGCTAATGTCTCCTAATTTAGATATATACATAAATAGTGAATTAAATGTCTGTCTCCATATTTTGATGTGAAATAGGATGTCTGCTTTAGACTCAAGGCTTACAAGCTCCAAAGGACACACCATTTGAGAATCCCCCCTAAAGACTAAATGTCTGGAAAGATCAACTGTGAAGTCATGAAATCAAAGAGTACTTATTTTAGTGTTTTGATAAGGATCCTGGGGCAAGAGACCCCAGGGGATGATCTCAAAATGAATTAGCGATTTTAAATGTCACCAGTGTCTTACATCAGTTTCCTCGAGACTCCTTTCCAGAAATCTACTCCGGTTTCCTTCCTCCATATCTAAGAAAGGGTCTTGCTCTTAGGCATCTTGAGCAAAACAGTAATATCTTCCAGATAAATAGTAACAGGCTGGTATCAGTCAGGCTGGGAGATACATTTAGGCATGTGTTTTTTGAAGGACCTGGCCTTGTTCATGATGATACACCTCATCTTCCTATGAACTTTGTATATGGATGGACCAGGCTTTTTGATGGGGCAGAGTATCTATAAAGTTTACATGAACTAAGGTCCAAGAATCAACACATTGGAGTTTAAATCTGCTCAGAGAGATTTCTGTATCAACAATAATTAAAAATCTGTGGTTAGTTATTTTTTTAAATGAACTCTCCTTGAGTAAGAAATAGCAGCTGAGGTTAAAGAAGGGACTGTGTGTCTCACTGTTTTGAAATATTGTCATCTATTTTCAAAAATAACATGAAAGGACCACAAGGTAATCCTGCTGTTATACTCAAACCTGATTAGACTCTAATGAGTAAATTGGTTCCATTACTCAAGAGGAACATGGACAATTTGAAGAGGGTTTGCAGGATAATCACAAAAATTAATAACCTAACAAAAGGCAGGAAAAGTTATGAAAACTGAAGTGCTTGCCAATAGGAAATTCAATGATCTTTGAACTCAGGAAGAGCTACTTGAGAGAAGATGCTGATACCGTTTGTTCTTCCTGTAAGGAAAAAAACAGACAGCAACCACCAATGTAAAGGCTTTACACTGGAGTAAGGGAACAGTTTCTCCATGGTGAAACTTGGGAAATTGCAGGAGTGAGACTTAAAGAAAATTGTAGCATTTAATTGTTCAAAGGACCTGGCTAAAGAGAAGACAGATTTTTTCATCTGTTTGTTTTGGCTTCAGTACATTCTGACCTTACGTTGATTCTTTAATTTTTCCAACAGTTTCTATGAATTTTGTTCATGTACTTTGTAAGTGTACATCTTAAGTGCATTTAGGAGTAAGAAACCAGATCACGTGCAGTGTTTGTATCCCTGCTCTGTGTTCATGCACGCCTGTGCTTCCTGCATATTTCCTTCACACTGCTTTGAAGGAGAAGTATGGTAATTGTTACCTTTGGCTCTCTACAAAATCATGGCTACACAGTTCAAAGTAGACTCTCTCCATCCCCTTTTTGTTCATGAAGTTCTAGTAATTCTTAGACTCTTCAGAGTATCATGGTCTGAATTTTGAAACTCCCCAAATTTCTGCATTAAAGCCCCAACCCCCAATGCAACTGTATTTGGAGATATGGGTTTTAGGAGGTAATAAAGCATAAATGAGGCCATAAGGGTAGGATCTCTCTCTCTCTCTCTTCTCATGCAAAGACCATATGAGAAGGTGGCATTCTGCAAGCCAAGGAAGAGAGCCCTAACCAGAAACCAAATTGGCTGAAATCTTGGTCTTGAACTTCCCAGCCTCTAGAACTCTGAAAAATAAATGTCTGTTGTTTAAGGCATCCAGTGGCATTTTGTTATGGCAGCCCAAGCGGACTAATATTTAGAGGCAAGTTTGCTTCTTGACTGTCATAATTATATTATTTTTGAATTGGTTTAATTAGAAGAAACCTTAGAAATTGGATAGCCTTTCCTTGTAATTGTCTCTGTAGAGGTGAGAAGTGGGAAAACCCAAGATAGTGGGGGCAAGGTGAGGGTGGTAGGAAAGGCTGAGGTCAGCCCATAGTTTGACCGTGTCTTATTAGAGTGAAAAGACACTTTGGATATGCCATGCAAGTGAAATGCAGGAATATCCTTTAATTTGGATTCATTTAATGCTTTGGTGATATTAGATTAGGAGATAAATGTGTAGGGTTTCCTTCAATTTCATACCTGATAGGGCTTATTTTTCCAATATGAATAAAAGATATGTTAGCCTCTGGCTAATATATGAATGACAGAAAGCCATATTTCAGAAAGATGATTTCCAATCCCTTTTCATATAGCAATAATTCATCTATTAGATACTGTGTATTGGGGTGCCGTGAGCATTATGCTGTTTGTATGATATGCAGGCTTCAGACCGTTAGATATCTATGGAGCTTAAGAGAATTAAAGACAAAAATAAGCACTCCAAAATATATAACCTAGTTAGAGCATATTTACATATGTCAAAAATAATTGAGCTCTTCCACCTCTCGAACTTGTTTTATTCATAAAGAATTAGATGATCGATACAAACCTAAAAACTTATGATTGTAATGAAGACAATTTCACAGTATCTTGAGGCATGAAGTCAACAATGAATGCAAGATCCTTCTCTGCCTCACTGTGAAAACACAAATAATTTGTCACAGGTTCTAGGGAGCTCATCCATTTCAGGCATATGATTATGCCTCTGCTTCCACACAGTGGCCTTGGGCAAATGAACCCTCTAAGTTCTGAATCTTTAAAACAAGGCTTAACGTTCCAAAAAATAAGGAAAGGTCTTAGACATTATTTGGCAGAAAGTGCTTATGAAATGTGAATTCACTCTTGCATCATGGTGAATTAATATTTTTTGGCTGTTTGGTGTATAACAGTAGAGATGATTTCCCTTCTTCTGATTTAAAAATATTGTATTTCATTTTTACCTTAAGGATCAGAGCTTAAAAATCAAAGGGATTAAAATGTTCCATTTCCTTGCCCATTGGTGGGCATATGAAAATTGAATTGAATAAAAATGGAGTCATCCTTTGTATTTTAAGATAAACAATATCCTAAAATTATCACACTAATCTTAATCTGCATTTTCAATATAAACAAAAATCAGTATCTTTTATTTTAAAATATTAATAATATGTACAGGTTGTTTTAATACAGGCTACACTTTTATTTTTATCAGTCTTTTTTTTAACCTTGTAGAGTCGTGTATTTATTTTTCATTGGTGTCTATGCTGCAGACCAAAAAATGAACCATAGAAATGATGCAAGGAAAGATGGAACTGATTATTGAAATGTTTTACTCTTTTCTGTATACAATTTTATTTTTTTGAGACGGAGTCTCGCTCTGTTGCCCAGCTGGAATGCAGTGGCGCCATCTCAGCTCGCTGCAACCTCTGCCTCCCGGGTTCAAGAGATTCTTCTGCCTCAGCCTCCTGAGTAGCTGGGACTACAGGCGCATGCCACCACACCCAGCTAAGTTTTTGTATTTTTAGTAGAGACGGGGTTTCACCATGTTGGCCAGGATGGTGTCTGTCTCCTGACCTCGTGATCCACCCGCCTCCGCCTCCCAAAGTGCTGGGATTACAGGTGTGAGCCACTGTGCCCGGCCATACAATTTTTATACAGAAAATACCATCTTATTTTTTAATATTTTGTATAGTTTCTTACTATATACACAGTACTAACAAATTAAAATTTTATTTTGTAGATTGTTATTTAGGAAAATTTAGCTTACTGCTTAGATATGTTGGCACATTGATATTACTTGCATATTTATTTTGCTTCACTTTCACAAGAAATCTGGGAGATCTTGAGGGGCCAGTGATTAAAACCATCCTCCTTATTTGTCTGTGTTCAGCTATAGTCATTCCCTGGGAAACAATAAAAGCTCAAGTTCAGTTTATGAGCTTCAGTGATAAAAATGCAAAGTTATGCTATAAGGATTTTTAAAAATATTATTATATTTATATAAACTGATTTTTCCCTCAGAGTACTCATAATTAGAGGAAAGGAAAAGGAAAGGAAACTCATTTAAACAATTGTTTTTAAGAGCCAGAAAAAAAAATTTTCATTAGTTTTGAAATATTGCTGGTTTGCTATTCTATAATGAGATTTTGAACTAGACTTACACAGTTATTTAACTTTACTTGTTTGGGGAATACGCTCAAAAATTTGCACAATTCATGTGCACTAAGTACTTCAAAAGTATTTATCTTGATTTTTCCCCTTTGTTTTAGTGAATGGATTACCTGTATACGCATTGTTATATATAGTAGCATTATCTCTGTGTTAAACATCACCTTTTCATGTATGTACTGACATATTCTCTCCTATAACTGTTAATTACAATACAGAGAACATGTAAGCCAGGGCTTGAAGTCGTAAGACATGATTTCTGGTCTTAACTTTGTTGTTTGCTAAATGCCTGGCCTTGGGTGGGACATTTAACCTCCCTAAACTCCAGTTTCTGCATCATTAAGATGGAAATAGTGATAGCTGTCCTATGGCTTGTCAGGATATCTTATATCAAAAATCTTATACCTGTTCCGTGACTTGCCAAGAAATCTTATATCAAGGCAAAAAGTGCTATCTTTTGTAAACTATCATGTGCTATAAAAAGTGCTGCCTTTTGTAAACTGTAAAGTACTATAAAAATTTGCGCTGTCATCTGAGTGACAGTGTAGATGTCTTGGCTGAAGCGTGGACACTGGTGCCTTTCTCCTAGGGTTCATCACTCACCTGTCATTTTTACATGCTTGATGACTTAGGGTAAGATCCTTAAACTGTGTGAGTTTCAACTTCCTCATCTTTAAAATGAGACCTATGAAAACACCCACTTCCCAGGGCCAAAGTACAGTTTGAACAATAAAATACATGGAAAGCACCTACAGATGAGCCTGACAGGTAGCCAGCATTAAATAAATAATTAATATTATCTCCTTTAAAGTACACAGATTCAGTAGCATACTGGCACATTTATGTAGCTGGCATTTGTGCAGACTCAGAGTAATATGAATTATGTGTCAAAAATGTCTTTTATTTTCATCTTGATGACATTTAGTTTTTCTATTAACTGAATAATACACGTTTGCTATAAAAGCTCAGAATATACAGAGAAGCCTCAGGACAAAAACAAAAACCAGCAGTCATCTAAATAAAATCCTTTTCGTTCCCTCTAATTATGACCACTGTAAGGGAAAAAAACTGTTCATTAATAGTACTTTAAAAATTTTTGGTAGCCCAAGGTTGGTTTTTTATCACCAAAGCTTATAACACAAGCTTAAGTCTTTATTGTGTTTCAGGGAATAACTATAGTAAGCACAGGGAACTAAGGATGATTATTTTAGTCACTGGCCCCTCAAAATCTCCCAGATTTCTTGTAAACATGAAGTAAAGTAAATATGCAAGTAATATCAATATGGCAACATGTCTGATATGGTTTGGCTGTGTCCCCACCCAAATCTCATCTTGAATTCCCACGTGTTGTGGGAGGGACCTGGTGGGAGGTAATTGAATCATGGGGGCAGGTCTTTCCCATGCTGTTCTCATGATAGTGAATGAGTCTCGTGAGATCTGATGGTTTTATAAAGGCAAGTTTCCCCGCACAAGCTCTCTCTTTTCCTGCTGCTATCCATGCCACGTGACTTGCTCCTCCTTGCCTTCCACCATGATTGTGAGGCTTCCCCAACTACGTGGAAGTCCAATTAAACCTCTTTCTTTTGTAAATTGCCCAGTCACTGACTAATACAATGTCATACAGTAAACTACCCAAATAAAATCACCATTTAGCATGTTTCAGAAGGAGAAGCATTTGAGCAAAAAATGATATCAGGGAAAATCAAGGCTCATAGATGGCAAGGATAGAAAGGAGATGGGTTTGAGTGCAGAGAAACCAGTCCCTAAGAACCGACATCCAGCAAAGGAGGAAGAATTCAAGACACATAAGAGAGAGGGAGGCAACAGACATTTAAAACTACAGTAGTTTTAAAAAGAACTGAGAATTGCTCCACTACTCCAAAGGCCGAAGAGCTAAAACCTGTGGCCTTGCTTAGGGTAGAGTTACAGTGGTTTCCCCATTGCCTCCCATAGTATTTGGCCACTTTGCTGGCAGGATTGTCTCCAGAGTGGTTTGTAGAGAGGTCTAGAGGTACACATAGAAACCACCTTCCAGTTCTTTCTTCAAAAAATAAAAGTAAAATAGGAAAGAAAACAATTCCCTGAATCATTTTCTTCATACTTGTGGCATCAAAAACCACTGTCCTGGTAGATGATGAGAGAGAGCTGGCAGCATAGAAAAGTAAGGGTGGAAAGGTGACTAAATTTCATGTCTCTGGCTTTATGCAGACAGAATGAAGAATTATTCATACACAGGAGCAATTTTTAAAAAGAGATTCTGAGAAAGAACTGACAAGCCAAGTTTGTTAAATTCGTTTTCTAAAAACAGGCATTAAAAGGTAATTATTATTTTGTAAAACTGTGTACCGTGACAGGTATTATGAATGCTGTGATGTCTATACTTGACATTACTACATAATTAAGACTAGATTATTTCAAATCTTGAGAAATCACTCTCCTATTTCCTTCTCAAAGGTCATTATTTCTAAGTCATTAGTCTACAAGGAAATATTAGAGTACTTGAATAGCATATAGGAAAGGAGCTTACAAGTTTAAAGCAGATTTATTCTTTAGATGCTGCAGGAATTTGATTTACAATTGTGGACCTCTCAAAAGGCAGGAACATGCATATCTGATATCTTGACATTCTAGAATTCTACTCAAACACTTCATCTACAAAGAGTGAAAGTGAATCAATTACATTTCTCATTTTCTGGAAGTAAAATACTTAACACCGTAAGACTATTAAATTGATCAGCAGTGCATAGCATTTCAGATACAATAAATGTATTAATAACATACTTCCAATCAAGCATATACACTTTTGGCAAAAGTCAATTCTTCCAAATATCAAAGGCTGATTTTCCCATGGTCACCCAGAGTATCCAGCTGCTGTCTTACTGCAGAAACATTGAGTTTAATAAACGCTTACTGAGGGCCAACCATGTGTCCTCTGAGCTCTGACCAAGGTATACAGGTGCCATCCCTCCACATGACCAGGATCTGCATTGTCTGTGTCCTTCTTGCCTCACAGACCCACTTGCACTTCAAAAGTAATAGAATAGTCTCTGAATCAGTTCTTCTTGATGAGTTGACATGCAGGTATGTTCTCACACACTTACTTCTTTCAGCATAATTCTAAAACTGTATATACATTTTTATTAAAACCTGGAAAGTAAAGAGTTTTAAAAAGAAGAAAAAAATGAGACC
This sequence comes from Homo sapiens, assembly GCF_000001405.40. Classification (NCBI taxonomy): domain Eukaryota; kingdom Metazoa; phylum Chordata; class Mammalia; order Primates; family Hominidae; genus Homo; species Homo sapiens. Next base: position 239,699,026 of record NC_000001.11, read on the forward strand.
TTCATAGTTTGTCATACTGAGTCAACCACAGTTAACATATTGGCATTTTTCTTTGAAGAGTTTTTTTTTCTAAGTTTTTCTCACCATGATTTTAATAATATTGCATGTGTTGTTTCTGTATTCTTATTTCATGTATTAAAAGTATGTTCTGTTTTACTACATAGTTTTGCAAAACTCATTTTTGAGTAGTATTATGGACTGAGTTGTATTCCTCCAAAACACATATGTTGAAGCGTAACTCCCAGTGTGATGGTATTTGGAGAGGGGAGTTTGGGGAGGTGATTACCCTTAGATGAGGTCCAATAGGATTAGTGCCTTGGTTCAATGCCCTCTTATAAGGGATTAGAGCCCTTATAAGAAGAGATAGCTATCTCTCTTTGTCTTTTCCTTCACACTTGCACAAAGAAGAGGTCATGTGAAAATGTGTTGAGAAGGCAGCTGTATTTGCCAAGTGACGAGAACCCTCACCAGGAATTGAATGGTCTAGCATCTTGATCTTGGACTTCCCAGACTCGAGCCATGAGAGATAAATTTCTCTTGCTTAAGTCACCCGATCTGTAGCTTGAGCAGACTAAGACAAGTGGCTATATCATGTGTTGTTTAATTATTTCTGATTGTTCATAACAATAAAATTAGGATGTATGTCTTCATACATAAAGTATTTTTGTGTATTCCACATTACTTCCTTTGTATAAATTCTCAGAAGTGGAATTATTTGATGAAACATGGAAACACTGACTAAATGTTTACAAATTGGTTATAACAAATTGCATACCCAAAAGAATAAGGAAAACATATCTCTGAAACCTAACAGCATTGAACCTGAAACTGTGACCAAAACTCTCTAAATTATTAGTTAGACTATCCGAACTATATTTGATAACACCCTTAAGAAAATAGGGAAGAAAATTAGGTTTATTTTCTGTTGTCTTTACTTTTTTTCTAGTCTTAATTTTCATTCTATTCAGCAGGATTCATTTTCCATCACTCTGGAAGGAAAAAAGAAACCTGAATTCCTATGCCTTCAGATATTTAATTAATTTTTTTTCATGGAAGAAAGGTGATATCTGATAAACAGATCCTCATAAAAGAAATACTAAGTAACAACTACTGGACTCTTTGCTCATCAACTTGTATACCTTTCTATCGAGGTACCAGTGTTCCCTTTTATTCCGCCATTCCTGAGAACTGGGTGTGATATAATGTTAGAATCTCAGCTTTCAAAAGGATCTTGGGGCTATCAACCTCACATCCCATCTAATATATGCCATTCCGTCTATAACATCTTCAGCAGGTATCCATTTAATGTCAGCATGAGTACGTTCAGTGACAAGGAGCTCACTATTTCACAAGTCAGTCTAATTTACAGATATTCATCTTTGACCATTGGAAAATTGCCCTAAAAAGCAAGTCCCAAACTCTGAAACTTCTATGCATTAATGCTGGTACTGCCCTCTGACAGGATCATGAAGAACAAATCTAATTCCACTTTCACTTGATAACCCCTCAGAACTTTGAAAAGCGCTATCAAACAAGCCTTTTCCTAGGTAAACATTCTCAGTTCATCCCCTGTCCCCTGCAGCATATGCCTTTAAGTCCCACTGGCATCTTAATGGGCATATTCCTATTAGAGACAGTCATGCACCTGTAGCCCGCAGACTCGTTTTTGGTCCTTGAGTGTTTGGGAGGAAAATTAAGAAAGATGTGTGGGACGTTATTTCTTTAGTTTGGCACACTCCTCCTGTTTTCTTACTTAAGAAGTGTTTCCTTATCTAAGTTACCTAGCGGCTTTGGGAAGTGTTCCAGTTTGTAATTTGTGTGTGAAAGGGCAGCTCCTGTCTATCATACCACCCTGAATGTGCCTGATCTCATTTGAAAGGGCAGCTCCCTTGACTGGACCCGTACTGTAGATATGATGTGAACAGCCTGGAGGAAAAGAGCTACCATCTCCCTTATCCTAACTATATTCCACTAATGATTAAAACCTGTGTGACGCTTTTATCAGCTGTTTCTACCCTTTACTTTTATTTACCCTTCAGTTGTCTTCTTAATAATAACTAAAGTTCCTAAGACATTTTCTGACTGATTGGCAATCCAGTTGACTAAAGTTCTCCACTCTTTTACTTGTGCAGTTAATTTTTTGAACCTAAGCATAGAACTCTGCACATAGTACCACTGACCATCATCTTCCTAAAGTCAGTTCAACTAGGCAGAATTTTGAGGACTTTTTGGTCCTCGTTCTACCAGTTCTTCACGGGATTGTGTGGTCTTCAGACAGCCTTCTCTCTCTAGCATGTACTGATAAACTAATGAGCAAGACCAGACAGAGGGGTGCCCAGAGGCATGGCGCTGAAAACCTTTCCGTTTCCCACTGGGTCCTCCATGCTTCTTTCTCTTCTTTGAATCTTTCCTCATTCACCAAGAATTGTCACCAAGGTGTGCAAGATCTGTCCTTAAAATGACTGTCAAGTTCTCCTCCTTGTTGTCATGATTGACAGCTGTCCCTCATCAAATTAGGCCTAGAGTTGTGCCAGTAATTACCTAGCTCAGCTATCTGGCTCTTACCTCTCACGTTCTCATCCATCCTGCATAACATTGCCTGATCATTTTCCTAAAATATCACATTCATCACGTCTCTTCTGCTCCTGATCTTTTAATAGACTCCAGTTAGAAATGCAGATCCCTCTGTGTAGAGTGCATGGCCTCAGTCATCTCATTCCTTCCTAACCCACCCATTGTTCTATGCAGCCTGGACTCCGATCGCCGTAGGTATGTTTGCTCCTTCTCACCCCATTCCTCGCTCATGCTATTCCTTCCATCTGGAATATTCCTCACTCTCCTTATCAACTATCCAAATCTTATCTACTCTTTAAAGGCCAGATTTCAACCTCTTTTCTCCATGTAATTTATTTGCTTTTGTTTATGTTAATCACTCTAAGTCAACTCCTAATGTCTAGATAATAATTTTTCTATTAATATTATCACTTTATAGTTCTAGTCATGTCAAGCTTCTTCTTCTGGGCTGCAGGGAAGTTTCCTCGAGGAGAAGCAATTTCATTCAATGCTTTGGTAGAAACCGTTTTTCCTCAAATAGCATTAAACAGATGGTTGATGCTTGGTGAATGTTGCTGCTCTTTGGTTGACTTATTTACCTTTTAAAGGAAGGTAGTACTTAAATTCGTCACTGATCTTGGAATTTCAAGTTGAGGATAACATTTTGGGGTAATTAACCTATACCCAGTTATTCTAACAGTATTTCTGAAGAGCTGCCTACTTGCCCCCAAAACATGGGTGTTTTGGATTCAGTTCTGGCATTTATATCAAGGGAGGATGCTGCTGTAAGTTCTGGTTTTGCAAACACTGTACACAACTTCTTCTGTTTGCTAAGTAATCTCCCTCTGGGTGCTACTCTGAGCTAACTTTCACAAATGTTCATTTCACTTGTAAGTCTAGGAAGGTAAGCATTGTCTTCTTCCCTTCCCAAATAAAAACTTTAGTATTATAATAGCTTGCAGAAAGTTTCTGTCTGGCATATTAACTTAATGTCTACCATTTACAAAAAGAAAATTCACCTCTCACTTTGCTTTTTTCTTTTTCTTCAGACAGAGTCTCACTCTGTTGCCCAGGCTGGAGTGAGCGCAGTGGCGCGATCTCAGCTCACTGCAGCCTCTGCCTCCTGGGTTCAAGTGAGTCTCATGCCTCAGCTTCCTGAGTAGCTAGGATTATAGGCATGTGCCACCAGGTAATACGATTTTAAGAAACAAATTTAATTCACTTAGTTATATATTTCTGTGCAGACCTGAATTCCCATTCAAAGAAAGTAGCCTGTTACAGGTAACTTTCTTTGTGTGTCCTGATTCATAGTATATTTATTTTAGCAACATCTATAATCTATAATAGATACCATGTGCAAATTGATAATATTTTTAAGTGCTTCACAAATCCCACAGACTGCTATTCCACTCTCCCATGTCAGATATTGTTAAAATTAATTCAAAGTAGTATCACCACCCCAGAAATATATTGATTAGGCCCCCCAACTTTAGGCTTTATGGCAGTGGGCTTGATGTTCTAAAAAGAGAGGAACATTGATAAGCCATACTTCTATTCTCCTGGGAAATTCTTTTTTGCTCAATTATCTTACAAGTTCACATCAATTTCTTGTTCCTCAGGTAACAGAGGAAGTTCCTAAGTTGTCTGGAGATTGCATGTCCTCACACACTAAAATCCTCTGAGCTGAATGATTCAGCTTTCACTATTGCTGTGTCTGTGGACAAAAAAGCAAAATGTGAGTCAATTCCAGGTTCCGTCACATTTGGGAGTTGCCAAGTAAAGGAAAACATAAAAGATTAATGTTATTATTCTGATTTTATTTTGTTTTGAGGAGAAGCGTGGGAAATGACTACCATACAAATCAAGAAATTCATGAAGGCAAACAGTTGATGACTGTCACCTAGCAATCTGTTATTTTCTTTTATCCTTTCCCCAAGACATATGCCCTCTGACATAAGCATTAAAATCAAATTATACAATTGTCAGAAAACCTGTTCTCAAAGCTTTAGGGTAAAAATTGTTTAATCAAATTGTAACACAAATTGAGAAATATCATTAAAGTGATAATGCCATCCTGTAAGAATTGCTGAATCTACTTGAAGTTTGTGTTTGATTCACTCTATTCAGAATTGTTTACCTATGCAAATTACTGATATCAGTAAAGTTACTTGAACACCCACTCTGTGTCGGGTTTTGGAGACATAAAGGCAAATAGAATGTAGATTCTATTCCTGAGGAATAAAATATAATGGAGGAAACAGACAGGTAACCAGTAACTTCAACCAAATCATTAAACGCACTGAATGAAAAGGGCAATGGGAAACACAGATTTATTTGTTTATTAATTGATGCAAGAACATCTCATTTTTATGTCAAGTTTGACATTTCAACTGGAAAGAGCTGGAATAACTTTGGAGAAGTAGTTCTTTGGGAAGGTAATACACATTTATCCGTTGGAGTTTTTATGCAGGTCACAAAGCGGCTTTATCCAGCTTGGTGCATTTTAAAGAAATATTGTTTAGGGAAGTTTCTGAAATGCCTCTTTACAGCTCTTTTGGAAATAGACTATACTGGCTGTGATTTTTGCACAAAGAACATTGAAGATAATTCAGGCAAAAAGAGCAGAAAGATCTGCACGTAGGAATCAACCACTGATACAGTGTTAAAGTGGGCCCGCATCATACACCCATTGAGAGGTGTGGAATAAAGCAATGTTGAGCTGACCTTGGACATGATATGTGTGTGAGGAATTTTTTCTTTATTTAACTCATAAATTAGTCAAAGAAGAATTATTGGCAAGACTGCGACTTGAAGTTTTGTATTGATGAAAAAAAAGGAGGGGAGGAAATCTGGTGAACCAGATCTAGGAAGGAGATAAAACTCGAAAGAACATCAAGAAGAGAATATATGTACATTTTAGTTTCTTGTCACAGAAGAAGGAACACAGGTCACAGCAACCTTTTTCACAAGTAGGTAGATCCCTCTTATGCAATTTAAGTAATAAAATAAATATTAAACCTCTTCTCTGTGCAGGGTGCTGTGGTCAGCATCCTGAGCAATACCAGAAGGAGGAAAGGTTAGCCCTTCCCCCAAGGGACGAGGCTTATTTATTGCCAGAAGATAAGATGTGCATACATGTAACAGCAATGCAAGGAAAGATATATTAATATTTATAATAAAGATACAAATAGAGCTAGAGGGAGCTTAGAGGAATACATTTATTCCAACAAGGGTTACGGCAGAATTTATGCGAAAGTCTTCTTTGGGCTAAATGATAATCATAAATTCTATAGGCATGCATGGAAAGGAAAGACACTCCAAATTAAAGAAGTACAAAATGTCTGGGTGCGATGGGTTCACACCCATAGTCCCAGCACTTTGGGAGGCCAAGACAGGAGGATGACTTAAGGCCAGAAGTTTGAGGCCAGCCTGGGCAACACAATGAGACCCTGTCTCTACAATAAAATAAAAACAAATAAATAGCCAGCTGTGTTGGCATGCACCTGCAGTCTCAGCTACTTGGGAGGCTGAGACAGGAGGATCACTCAAGCTCAGAAGGTCGAGGTTACAGTGAGCTATGATCATGACACTGCACTCCAACCTGGGCAGCAGAGCAAGACCCCGACTCAAAAAAAACATATGAAAAGAAAAAAGTATGGAGCATAGTTGGGGAAAAGCAAATAGCCCTATCTGAGCACAGTCGACTCATGATGCTCTCTTCTACTATAACTGCCTTTACTTTTCTCATAAAAGTTGAAAAATACCATTCTGCCATTTGTGCATTAATTTGCTAGAGTTGTTGCAATAAAGTAGCAGAGACTGGAAGGCCTAAACAACAGAAACTTAGTGCTTCACAATTCTGGAGGCAGGGTTGGCTCCTCCTGACAGCTGTGAGGGAGAATCTGTTCCATGTCTGCCGCCTGGCTTCTGGGGGCTGCTGGCAGTCTTTGTAGTTCCTTGGTTTGTAGATGAATCTCTGCCTTCGTCTTCATATGGCGTTCTCCCCATGTCTCTGTGTCCAAATGTCCCCTTCTTCTAAGAACTCTAGTGATGTTGGATTAAGGCCACTCTAATAGCCTCATTTTAAGGCGATTACCTCTATAAAGGCCCTATCTTTATAGGGAAGGAAAAATTAACCTGTATGAGGATATAAAGAAGAGAAAATGACGTTTAGGCTGGCAGATAGATTCACGATATATATATATATCAAGTAGCCTTGATGTTCAACATAAAGAATAGAGACATTATTCTAGGCAATGGAGCTCCATGGCCAGTGTGTACAAGGTGATAAAATTACCTTGGAATACTAAGTAAGCTTTTATATACAACTGAGATGCAAAGTTGTAATACAAATGATAAAGGTAGATGAGATTAAAAATAAAAGAGAAGTAAGAATTAAATGTTGTAAGTCTGATAAGGAGCTTGGATGTCAAAGAGAATGATTATCATTTATTTAGATTATTTTAAATTGTTTTTTATAAATTATTAAATTTATTTTATGTTATATTTATATATTATAGTTATATGTGAATTATAAATAATTCATGATATACAACTAAATTATAATAAATACAAACTAACATATATTATATATAGTGAATATGCAATAAAATGTAATAAACATACATTATTAATATAATTTATAATTATGTTATTATTACATTCTAAATATTTAGAAGATTATTTGTAAATGATTTATTTATGGGATTGAAGGAAAACTTTACTGACAGAAAGGATACTTTCCTTTAAAATCCAAGAGATGGAAAGATTCCTGAACACAGCAGGGACATCCCATGGCTAGGAGGACAGACCATTTCCCCAATCCACATCATGCAAGTAGCTGAAGCCCTGTTTTCAAACACTGTCTCCTGGGTTGGATTGGCTGTCTCCATTTCACCAACTTCTTGAAACTTAACACCTAGAAAAAAATTTTGCTCCCTCTCGGCACTGCCCCCTCTTACTCCCCCACACAGGTGTGTATGTACATACACACACACAAAGGCATGCACAGGCATGCACCCCCACACATGTGTCCATGTACACACACACACACACACACACACACACAGACATGCACCCACACACACTTGCATGTACACACACGGAGGCATGCACCCACACACACGTGTGCATGTACACATACACATGGAGGCATGCACAGGCATGCACCCCCACACCCATGTGCATGTACTCACACACACACGCAGAGGCATGCACAGGCATGCACCCCCACACACGTATGCATGTACACACATGCAGAGGCATTCACAGGCATGCACAAATGCACATGCCTGATGCTACATGCATTGAAATGCTAAAGAGCTACTTACAAAAAACTGGATTTATCATCATAAATAGTTTTCGGAAAAGTAGGAAAAGCAGAATGATATTTTTTCAACTTTTATAAAAGAAAAACAAAGGCAATGTATGGTAGTAGAAGGAACATAGACTTTGGAGTCTGGCAGTCAGCCTTGTACTGAGCTCCACAAACAATTTTCTGGGTAACTGTGGACAAATGAACGAACCTTACAGACTTTGGTTAACATCTATGTAAGGTGGGGATAAATATGTTATATAGCTATTTGGAGGATTAGATGAAATAAGTTATATAAAGAATATAATAAGTTGCATATGCCTTTCATTATCCTGAATTTTAATTTTAATAACCAAAAAGATTCCAGACATTTCTCCTGGTAGATTTAAACATATGCTTATGCACAGACTGACTTGCTATTTTATTCGCGAGTCTAAAAAAAAATTAGCTGCATAATAAAAAAATTAGAATATCTGTATGGAAAAACACACAGCCGTTGTGGGCCCGTGATAATTCTCAGCAGAACTGGCAACTATTGTTTAGGTAAAGTTTCCTTCAGTCATTTTGCAAACCTCAATGTTCTGAATTATGAGCTAACTGTTTTGGAAGTGAATAAAATATACACTTTCATGTGAATATACCAGTGTTTGTTAGAAGGAAACATAAGGAACAATTCTAAACTTCTTATGAAGATGCGCGATATTGGGCCTGCAGAGACATACAATAGCAAGAAAGCAATGGTTTTGAAATAGGATGTAAATAAAACATCCTTCTTTTTTTCATTGCTTTTGTAGTTTTTTTGTACTCCATAATTCCAGTAGACATTTTCTGGGCAAGAGAGTTTGTCAGCAATTATTCTGTTGAGGATCTGGAAAAGAAAACAATAATTAAATACCTTCACTTATCCTACTTTATCCCTGACTCTGTAGCTAAACTTAAGCATGGATTGAAAATAAACATACCTTGAGATAATTTAATATAGAAGAGTATTGGGCCTTGGCCTTGAAACAATCTTTCAGACTATGATACAGATTAAATTCATTTATGAATACTATTTTAACTCTTTCTTCAATCTGTCTCTAACATGTTAAACAACTACTGTGGAATATTTCTTGAAGAAAAAAATACCATTTAACTCCTCATAGGCAGGAAATGGCAGTAAGTGAATGTGCTAATTCTGCAACATGGGAGAAGACGTGGCCTGAAGGATAATTGAGGGTGTGTAATAACACTTTATGTTTCAGACTAAACCATGTGTATGTGATCTTCCCCTGCCTCTTGCTAAATGATAGCAACAAGCTTGTGGTGGTTCAGGCCAAAACCTTGGAGCCATCCTTGAATCTGGCTCTTCTTTCATGCTCCCAGTTGGATTCATTCATCAGTGCTCATCAGCTGTATCTAGAATTTCACAAATTCTCACTGTTTATGCTGGTCCAAGCTTGGATTAGCTCTTACTCAGATGATTGCAGGAGACTTCCAATTGCCCTCCCTGCTTTAGCACTGACCCCTTCAACCTGTCTTTTGCACAGTAGCTGGAGTCGTATTCCAAAATTCACTCTCTACTCAACACCCTCCAGTGGCTTCCCAGCCTCTCTTACTGGGGTGGATTTCCTAACTATCCTACGTAAAAGAACATCTCAGCACCTCCACCCCTGGGACTCTCTAAACCCCGCATCTCCTTTATTTTTCTCCGCAGCACCATTCACAAATGTTCATCCCATAATTTTGTGTGTTTATTTGTGGGCTTAACCACCTAAAAATATAAGCCCCATCCAGAAAGGGCCAATTTTTGCCAAAGTTACTGTTCTATTCCTGGCTCTTTGTTTCTTCTGGTTTAAATTTTCTTTTTTTTTTTTTTTTTTTTTTTTTTTGGTGTTTGAGGTCTGTAGGTTCCGTGGTACTTTCTGCTGACTCCTTAGTGGATGAAACAGAAGTTTCACATTTGTCTTTTTCTCTTTTCACTCTCAGTCACCATGATTCAAATAAACTAATTCTCCTTAAGATCCCACTTTATTTTTTAACTCCAATAAATGTAATTATCAGCTGCTGAATTGTTTGACATGTTTAGGGGGTAAAAGCTTTCATTTTGTTGGCAATATAGTCTTCCACCCCCTCCCCAGTTAGGAAAAATAATAAAAGATATGTTACCCCAAAATTATACTCCCTAAAACATACTGTTTTCTATCTGTTTCTACCTATTTATTTGCATATGTTTAAACGTACAATGCTTTCTTTTACTTTCTATTTTTCTGCAACTATGTTCACTATTTAGCACCCAAAGTTTTCAGACTGAAACTCAGGCCAGTCACATCAACATTTCTTACAGTTTCTTGAGCACTTGAAGCTTGTTTGCCACCCCAAGTCTTTGTTTTCTGGGTTATTTTGTCTAATACTTTTTCAGACTGCCTGCTGGTGAGCAGAGGTCTTGGTTCTAATGCCTCCACCTTGAGGCGGATTTTACCGACCGCCGTGTCTAAAATAGTCATACTCTTGACAATCACTCATTGTACCCACCTACCCTGCTTTGTTTTTTTCCGTAAAGCAGCCAATGTTACCTTATAAATTTAGCTGCCATTTTGTGCCCACCAGTAGAATAAAGTTCCTTTGAATCAGTGACTTTATCTACTCATGTTTCCAGCTAGGACAGTGCTGCCTGTGTGGCAGGGGTTCCATACGTGTTGAGAAAAAAAGAAGTGAATGAATGAATTCCTTTGTATAGACATTAAGCTGCTAAAAGGGGGCTATAAATCCCTTTAACCTGTTGTCACTAGCTGCTTTTGGAAATACCATTGTCAGGGACAGGTTTTTGAGAGTTCTTTAACCTATGAGGCAATTTCTAGACATTTATTTTAAGTTGGGACGTTCCACTTAAGTAGCTAAATTTGAAATTAAAGAGATTAACCAGTGAAGATCTAAATTCTCATTCTTGACAAAGCTACCTTGTTTTATCTTTTCTTTAAACCTCAAGTGTTTTAAAAAAATTAATATCAAAATGTAAAATAATATCCACATTATTTAAGTTAAAATGATATTAATTGCTATTTGACATGAAGCATCATTGTATCATGAGATATTACTAAAGGTAACTCTGCAGTCCTCCTCCACCTATGCCAAATGAGGAAGGACACTGATTGTGATGCTTCTAATGGCAATTTCATTTTGCTGACATCGACCTTGAAAGCTAGTTAATGTTATTGGACTTGTCATGGAATTCCAGAAACAAACATTGTGAATCAAACAATTAAATAGCCAATTAAAAACAAATAACAGTCTTTTCATTATCTGCATCTAAGTGTTATATGTATAACTATATCCATATTATTGAATATATATATATAACTGTATGCATATAGATACTCTCTATATATGTAACTATACCCATATATATGTGTTTGTATGTATATAACTACATCCATATTGTGGAAGATCAATCTTGCAGTTGATCAGGAAATTGCAAAATTCTCTGATCTAAGTTGGGCAAATATTTTGTATAATCTTATTAATTCCATATCTATAGGCAGGCTGATAATGCAAAGAACACCTGACAACCTAAATGATGAGAAATAACATTGTAAATGATTAAGATCATTAAAACTGTGGAGATAGATATGCTATGGGTTTGGGTATGTGACATATGAGCAGGAGGGTATGAGGAGATGAGGAGGGGACCTGTGGTTCACTTTAGATACAAGCTTCAGTTAAGCTTAAATTAGAATCATTTACTGACTATTATTTAGTCATTTAACCAGGTATCAGACAGAGAATTTAGTAACTATATTGAATGCCAAGTTTAGATAAAGTAAATTAATATTTTTTTCTTATATCTCAATTCTTGACAAGTTGCTTGTTTCTAAGCATAAAGAAAATAAGTATAGGCTTTAAGGCCTTAATAAATATGGCTTTAGAGTGAAGGTTGACCACTCCTCAACCATGTACCCTGGTACCTCTCACCACACCGCAAACAACCTGCCGTGTTCCTAACTTCATTCATGCTATACCTCCCACCAAGAAAGCCTGTCTCCTTCTTTCCCAGCTTCGTTTGGCTTCTTTTTAGGAAATTGAAATAATACTGTTCTGAGTTTTCAAAACTATTTGACAACTCTCACTCATTCTGCAAGACCCAGCAAAAATGCCACCTCCCCACAATACCGCCCTGAGTTTCCAGGTAGCATAAGTGAGGCCTTCCTCTGGGCCCTGGACATTGTACAGATGCAGCTGCAGTGGCACAGATGAGATTCCTTAGATAAATACACATCCCTTGTGTGTTGTTTGCCCATCTGCTTCTTCCACTACACCGTAAGGTTTTGGGGTCATGCATGGATTGTGTCTGTAACCCCAATAACAAATTGGAGTTTTCTTGCTCCTCTGAGACTGGATAAACTTTACTGACCCCCATCCAACTTTGCATCCTTTGAGTCCCGGGTGCTCCCCAAAAGTCTTGAACATTACTCAGAGTTTACTCCTGCTCAGTCCCCAGTGTCTGCACTCCTCTTTCCATGTGGTTCAATAATGCTTGGCCACCCAGACCCCCCATTCCATCCATCAGCCCAAAGATTTAATAAATCAGTAATCATTAAATAATAATATACGATATTAATATTAAATAGTAAGAAATAATAAATTATTGTTATTTATAAATCATTAATAAGTTCATCAAGTTCCAGAGGACTTGAGGGGTCCTGAGGAGAGGATCACAAAACAATAGATCTCCTTCCACCAAACCTTTAGTCCACTGCCCCACTCCCTCCGTCTCTCTCCATCCTCACATCCCCATTTCCCGCTCTCTCACTCTCTCTCTGCTTTTTTTTTTTTTTAGTGACAGGGTCTCACTCTGTTGCCCAGACTAAAGAACAGGGGTGAGACACAGCTTACTGCAGCCTCAAAATCCTGGGCTCAAGGGATCCTCTTGCTTCAGCCTCTAGAGTAGCTAGGACTGCAGGCACGCACCACCATACTCTGCTAACTTTAAGACAAACAATAAAATGTAGAGATGAAGTCTCACTCTATTGCCCAAGCTGTTCTCAAACTCCACATCCAGCCCCATTCCCCTTTAGCTATAGCTAGATCCATACCAGGGCTCCCCAGAGCCCATCCCCCCAGGCTTAGATGCCTTTTGATCTCAGCCTTTGCCTCTAGTAAGCCCATTCAGAAATATTTCCAACAAAGAAAACCCTCCCTTTAAGATAAACTGTCAGACTACCCAAAAAGAGAAGGTTATTTTTAATCTCAATTATACATTGTATCCATCTTTGTCATGAGCATAGGATCAATAATTTTATAGATGTTTAAAAAATAATTTTATTCACTATAATTGTCCCAGTTATCTTGGTCCCCGATCAATTTCAGGTAACTTTAGGAGTCTTCTATTTTAGTTATCCTTGGTTGTGATTGGAATGACTTCGTTGGTTTGTGAGCTATTTTGATTTTGCTTTTGTCCTTTACAGAATTCTCTTCAGGTCAGAAAAAGAAAAAAGATTATTTGAAAGTCATTTCTTACTTAGGAAATATTTCTGTAAAATAAGTGAAATTTTTTTTGAAAGTTGAAAATGACAAAATTCACCTTTCAATTTTATCATCAGGATCTTATGCTAGCAGAAGTATGTAGTTGGAATGAATGAAAGAACAGAAGTCTCTGTAAGCTGGGGTATCTCTGACTATTGAAAATACTTTACCTTTTAACCAGTGCCTGTTGCTAGCATTTAAAAGAATTTAAGCATAATGCCGCATTTCCTCGAATACTTGCATTGCAATCTTAAAAGCTGTTTCCCTTAGAAATCTGAGAACAGTAATAAATCTATTCGGTAAAGACTGTATTTTGTAAACCCCAAAGCACTAATAAATAGTGTTTCTCTTTAATGAAAAGGTCCAATGTTTCATCATGGACAAATACCCACATTTTATGGAGTAGAGATGGTCTGTTATCCCCAGGGTTATCCCCTGACCATATCTGGACTATTTCATTACTCCTCTGCAGTGGAATTTGATCATGAAGTAAAAAGACATATTTTTGTCCTTTTAATTTACCCAGGATTTAAACATAGGTATGATACAGCGACAAGTTAATCAGAGATGTGCTTGGCCTTTTAAATCCCCTTCCAATCCCTGACACAGGGCCAGAAGCCAGCGCCTAAAAAGGAAGTCCACACGGGCAACACAAACACTGCCCGCTAAGCCCGGGCACAATCTGCTTCTGCAAAGACTGTGTCAACGTACTTCATGGGCATTTCTGTGCGGTAGAAGACAAGAGCATAAAGTACATTAAGTACATTAAGTGGGAGGCAGCTGAGCAAAATAAAGTGAATTCCGAATTGGAAGTCAGAGATCTGAATTGCAGTTCCAGTTATACTGTTTATTATCTACACACCCTTAACCAAGTCATTTCTGAGTTCTGGGTGTCCATTCCTTAATCTGTAATTATGGATGACACTATTTGCTCTGTAATTATACTGTCGATTCTCTAGGGATGGTTGATATCTTGTTCTTCCTTTCCATCACAATTGTGCCTGGCCCATTGCTCATCAAAGGCTTTTTGAGGAATTAAAATAGGTATGTTGAGGGGAACAAAATAAAATAATAAACAGAACAAGCTCCAAATAAAATGTAAAATGCTGAATGCAACTGTAATCTTATTCTGTTTACTGCATTATTGAAGATGCATTGCTTCTTCTACAATTTGCACAAACACCAACATCACATTGATGAGAAGCATCCCTCTATGTTGGGCTTAGTTATTCTATAGCTCCCATCACAGATCTCCATGGACAGAGAATTTTGCATTTCCCTATATCATACTGTTATGTCAGCCACAGCTGGGGTGACCACTTGTCCCAGTTTGCTGGAGACCTCTGCAGTTTACCTCTGTTGCTGAGGCACAATTATGATTACTCTCTTTCACTAACAAACATGCCTTAGTCTGGATGATAAATTGTGTGATCACCTTATTTAAGTATAAAAAACGGTGTTCCATTAAATTGTTTTATGGACGAGGGACAAAACATAAGCCCAGAGAAATGTATGTACCTCTTTAAGGTTTTAAGCCCTGTTCTTTAAACCAGACATGATGTTAATACGGCAGATTTCTTTCATATCATTTGGGTAATTCATCTGTGTATGCCTAACCAGCAATGCTTACAAAATTAGAAGATGTCTCTCAAGGCCTTAGTTCTTAGACTTAAAACTGCTTTTTGCTTGCCTGCGGGAAACCCAGCCTTCTATTAGTTTTCCCATCTGAAGAACTTCTGGAAATTTCCAGGATCTTCATTCATTAATTCAATAAATACTCACAGAACTAGCACAGCCAGCATGCCATGAGCTCCTGAGTGTGCAGTGGTGAACAAGAATGGAGAGCCTTGGCCCTCATGGAGCTCGTCATCTAAAGAGAGAAACAGGTGTTAGCAATTTTATAAACAAAAAGCTGCTCTTCTGATACTGCACCTAACTCACAATGCTTCAGATAAAAGGTGGCAGTGGAGAGTGCTCTGAGAGCACCTGATAGTGAGATGTGAGCTCATCAAGAATGCTCAGGGGACGTTTCTTCTTGGAAGGTCCAGTTAAGCTGAGACCCGAAAGGTAAATCAGAGTTACTTGGGTGAGGAGGGATGAGCAGAGGCAGAAGACAGCTTGTGCCAAGGCCCTGCGGTAGAAGGGTGCACAGGCACAGGACGGGGAGGAGACAGAAAGGACAGAATTTGCACAAACACATAACACAGCAGGAAGGGAAAGCCTAGTGGAAAATGAGGCTGCAGAAGTAGCTGAAGAGGTAGGGAAGAAATTCAAGTGTTTTAAGCCAGGGGTGATACAATCAGAATTGTGCCTAGAAAATATTAGCTCAGCTCAGTTGTGAAGAATAGACTGAGGGGCAGGAGAACCAGAGTAGGTGAGGTGACAAGGAAGGAGGCAAAATTTGATGAGTTTGGGGATTTTAGATGCCTGATGTCTTGAATGACCTAAGTGGACAGTTGTACAGTGGTAACTACAGCATGTGAGAGAGATGTGAGAGAGACATGGCATTGCATGGGATGAAGATTTTGCCAATAGTTTAAGCTGAGAAAGAGTACTGTGGAAAAACTTGCTAAAAGGTAGACAAATGAAAAGAACCCAGAAAAGAAAAGACCATGGAGGTAAGGGGGAATTCAGGGAATGATGATGTCCTGAAGCCAGAGAAAGAGTGAATTATAAGATGGGAGTGGCTAACAATATCAAATACCACAGATTAAGTGAGTAAAAACTGAGAAGGACCCATTAGGTTTATCAACTATGAGTTACTGATTACCTTGGAAATATCAACTTCAATGAAGAACTGTTAAGAATTAAAGGCATATTTAAATTGGTTAAGAGCAAATGATTGGGTACACACTACATATTTTAAGTAGTTAGAACATAAAAGGACAGAGGGCACTATAACTAGAAGAGGAAATAGGCTATGCACCAGAATTTTTGTCAATGATTTTATTTGTTTTGTTTTGAGAAGGCGTGTGTGCAGTGGTGTTCTGATAAACCAGGCCTCCAGAGGAGAAATAAAAGCTCTAATTTGTAGCTATTACAGATGACCATGGCGTAAATACCGTCACCATGGCTGGAGTAAAACTATCATGGAAGAATGCAGAAGGCATTCAGAATACCTTATTGAATGCAGATTTGAGAAGATACCTACAATTAGCTATCAGCTCCAGTGCACCACCACATAGAAACCAATGGGATGGGAGAGGTTGAAGGTTTGTGTGAGAAGTGGGATTGCTAATAAAACAGATAAAGAGGGAGGAAGGTAGGATCCAGAGTAAAAGTGGGAAGATTAGTTTTGGATAAGAGAAAAGATATCTCTTCTAATGAGTTGGGTGGCAAAGAGTTAGGCTGGAATCAGTTCATAGGGAGGAAAGGACATTGAGTTAATTCTCACTTCACAGGCTATTTTACCTGTAAATTAGGACAGGAGGGCTTTGCTGAGAGTGAGGAAGTGGCAGTTTGTACATACTGTTGGATTGGAAGAAACAGTTAAAGCTTGAAAGAAAAGGAGATGTGGAAGGAAATTTGGACAGTGTTGAAGTCCTAGTGATGTTGAAGACCAGGGCTTTGTACCAGTACCATTCTGCAGAGTCACATGAAGTTAACCAGAATGTAGCAACCCAGGTGTATGAAAACAGACATAAAATAATTGCATTGATCTTGGGTTGAAATTCTGGAGGAAAATGTGGAGGGACGACAAGAATTCAAACGAGAAGTGGGTACTAACAGGAGGATGTTTGAAGTGATAGGCTATGATGTCTAGGTTAAAGAGAGAAGAAAGTAGAGCCAAAGGGAGCTTTTAGAAGTAAAGAAAGTGATACTTTTAGGGGATTTGAGATATGAATGAGGTTGTAGAACTGATGGAGTGGAAATACAAAGTCGGTAGAGTTGAAAAGTTGGTTGGCGCTGTTTAGAGAATAACTTCACAGAGTGAACAAGTATAGAGGTGGCCAAGTTTGGGGTCTCCATGATTGTGACTGGCTGAAGCAGAGTGGAGGTTCAAAAAGACTATTGTAGTGAATAATAGGGAGCTATAAAGCAGGTGCTGGTTGATAATCGAAAAGGGCATTGACGTCATCCAGGATCTTGGGTTGGATATTAAGACTTTAAGCCATGTACCAAAGCCTTTGTTAAATGTAGAAGGCTTCACTGGGACTCCAGCCATTCACAGGGAGAAATGATGTTTACAGCTAAACAGTGTGACTCTCAAAAGAGCCTTTTTTTGCAAGAGAGTGAATAAATAATATTTTTAATTTGGTAATAAGGAAAGCTAACCAGTGGGTCCTAAAATAGAATTAAAAAAAGAAGAGGAAGAGGAGAAGGGAGAAGAAGGGAAAGGAAAGAAGAACCTAAACTTTAAAAAACCTTGCTAGAAGAAGGGAGGGGCCCAAACGTAGCTCAAGGGGAGCGGGGATGTAGCTCTCTGACAAAATGAGAATGTACAGGAGGGTTCATTTGGTTTATTTGTATGTGTATTTGGTTGTTTGGCTTTGTTTAGATTTGTTATTAATAGTTTGTTTTGATTTTAACCATCCATATGGCATATTTGAAGAATACTTGTTCCAGATAATAGTTATGAGATGACATATTAAGGGACAATAATTGAAATGTCCTCAATGCCAGAAAAACAAATGTTCTCAATCACTTCCAGTTTTTTTTTTTGCATGAATAAAGTTACCATGAGTACATTTTCCAAAAAAGAAAAAGTTCAAATGTAAGATCTGAGTTGAATTGTGAGCTTCTCTAACGGTGTTCTTGGATTCATTTTTCAACTGCAAAAGATTGAGATCCTGAATAAGGCTTATGGGTGTATTAAAACTGTGCCCTTGCAGAGGAAGTAGCCTTGAATAGTTATTGGCTTTGAAAGCAACCAGTTTTGTTGACTTAATTATGCTGGTACCAGGAAAGCATAGAATAGATCCTGTTGATAACAAGAGCCATGCTGGACATTAACAGTTTCACAGAGAGTAGTGGGGACCATTTCTTTGGAATAAAGTTGAAACATGTTTCTTAATAGACAACTCTCTCAGCATTATAAAATCCTGATACAGAACTCAAGGAAAGACACACACGCACACACACACACACACATGATTTTTATCGTTGTTATCTTAGTAAATAATGACTAATGTGGTTTTTGGTTGTTATCAGTTGGTTACGGATTGGAGTTAACATTTCATCAGATCTGAGCAATAACCTATGTGGTAAAGTCCTAGTGTGGCAGGAATTTGGGATTCAAGGGGGGTGCTTATATAATCTGCTTTCTTAAGGTAAGGTTTGCTCTTTTATGCTACCTGTCATTTCTGCCTTAAACAATGTCCGGGAAATTCAGCCACACACAACAAAGAACCAGATCCCTCATTTCGGTTCTATCCTTCCTCCTCTAGAACTGACATTCCTTGGGGCCGTGTCCTCAAGTGACGTGTCCTGCTCTAGCTAAATGGCAGTAATCTGTGTTTGACTCCAGCAGTTTATCAAGCTATGTCATTTTATGCCATGTCAGTTTATAGAGAGTGGCACAAGATACAACAGGATAGGGAAGCTGAGTTTTCTATTTGTCTACTTCATTGAAAACATGATTTTGTTTACTGACAAGTAAATGGTATAGGTGTAAGGAAAGAGTAGCAACTACCATATTATTTTGCCAGAATCCTCATGTTACCGTTTCAAAAAATGCCAAGAAAGATGACAGTGCATGTTATAACATCCCTTACAAATAATAGCAAAGCTTTAATCAGCTGCTACACAGACACACTCAGGATTGAAATGCAACCTACTAGGGTGAAACATGACAAGCGGTTCATTGAACACTGCGCAGAAGGTAAATGAAGTGTATATTTTCCAATCACAACTGGAATTTTAAGTGAGTGAAATGGAATAAACTCAGTTTGGAATTTGAAATAAATTCACCATGGAATGTGTCTTAGAGACCAAGGTTTACACTAGCGCTATACAAACTCCTCAGCGTGAAACATGACACAAGGTGAAATTTTCCTGGCATCTTAGAGTCAGATACTGACTTCTGAAGGACCAGGGCACAGACATTTCATCAAGAGCTATTTGTTTCTAATTGGGGAAGAAAATACAGATGTTTATATAATACTCTGGGTCAGGAGTAATATTCCACCTGGTACATGGAGTTTTGTACACTTTTTCAGAGGTGGTATTTCTAGCTGAGTGTTAGCAGTAAAACATTTTCATCAAATTTCCATTCTTTTTTTTTTGAAGCCTACTTGCATAGTTCTAAGGAGTGTCATAGCTCACACATAGTGACACTGATTAGTAAAAATAAGAAGTGATTGAAGAAAACACAAGGAAAGAATCAACTTGAAGTCATTCAGAAGTAACCACTAGTAGCAATTTAACTACCCTGTTGCCAAAGCTCTTTTCTTAAATTACAGATCCTCATGAGCTAGTAAGTTTGAAGGGGAGTCATAAAGAGGAACAGGCATTATACGCAAGGCTGAAGAAGCAGTTGGTAACTAACAGTACATCTTTTTCTAAGGTAAGTTTAAGGTCACAAAAAGACTTAATGTACAGAGTTGAAAAACTTACATATTTCTTAGAAGCTTAGAAGTTATGAGTTTAGTTGGGGCTCCAGGAAGATGCAAGATGCTAGACTCCAAAAAATAAGAGAGAGGTCCAGTGTAGAATAACACTCTATAGATTAAAGGAGGACTCAAGAGTAGAGGAAAAACTTAGCAAAATACAGGGCTATGAGTTAGGTGTTCCTAGTTAGAGTCTGAGTGTCCGGAAATGATGAAATGGGTGAGCTCCAAGAATGCAGGATATGTGAAATTGGTAATCAGATCTACTGGTTTGCTTGTTCTGAGTGTATCGTTAGGGTTTTTGGGGACTGGTGTTAGTGGTGTTGGCAGAATTAGTCCCCTGCTCTTGGTTATACCTGTCCACTTTAAACAGTAGCTTGTAGTTATTTAGCCCTTAATTGCATTCAGGTAAAACCAATATAGCACCCTATAATTCAGCAAATATTTGTTTTCCTGGCAGTATTACAGTTTCAGGGGGCAGTTCTAAGGTGATTACAGTTTCCACTGCTTGGAGCTTTCTGTATATTTATCCTTGGATTAGACTCAAAGTAAGCTGATTTTATCAAGCCACCGGGTAATTCTGACCATTTCATCTGGCGATTTTAGTACGGTATTGTTGCAGCTGACCTGTATACGTAAGGAATTACTGGGTCATCAGCTCTGGGGAATGTCTTTTGATTATGAACACATTTTCAGCATGTGTCCACTGAAGGTAAGGGGCAAAGAATTGCACGATCTACTTGAATGCCTGTTTAAATAGATAAAAGTGGGATTTTGGGCACGGCCTGGTTATATCTTCTTAAACGTAGGTAGTAGAGCCGCAACTCAGCGTAGCAACAAGAGATCTTTTGAACAACTGAACATTCAGATGAAGCAACTATGTCCTTCAAACCACATCCTTCCTGCTGCCTGTGGGAAAGGGGTGATATTTGTGTTGAGCTCTGAGCACATGCAGAATAGATCTGTGTGTATTTCCACAAATAAAAGGACATTGTGTGTGTGTTTGGCACCTGGGATGGCAAAAGCAGTTAATTGCTTCCGAAAGCTTTGTTCCAACCCAGGGATCGGCAGGATTTTTAAGCACTGAACTAGGAACTGGGCACTAAAAATACTTATGCAGAAGACCTATGATAGCAGTAAGTTTACAGAGCAGAGCTAAGACTTGCAAACCGTGTTGTATCTGTGTCTTTACTTACTATGGTTGAGAGGAAAGGATTTACACGCTGCGTTTGCAACCTGCAAAGTAATGAGCCGTGTTGTAGTAACATTTTGAGATATTGTATGTTGTGTTGTTTATATGAGGATCATTCAGAATATATAGAATATAAGTATATGTTTTTCTAAAACAAAAAACTTTGCCCTAGTTTCTTTGCATATATTGTTCACATCATGTTCATATAGTCACTGGCAGTTAATGATTTTTGTCATTTAGTCAGAAACAAAGTAGTGCTCTGCCTCTGAAACCCCAAAAAAACCTAAATTAAAGTAAAATTAAAAGATGTATTAAAATTAAACTTGGATTATCAAAATGAAACAGTAATGCTCTCGTGCCACTCAACGCCAGACTTTTCATGTTGCAGATAGCAAGTGAACAGAAAGCTAAGCATGAACATATTTTAAATGCTCCTGATATTTTCAAATGCTTAATCCTAAGCCTTAAAGGGTTTTATCTATAGAGATTTGGGGAATTTCAGTGTTTCTTTTTCTTATTTTAGATTTCCTGTTAAGTTATTCTCCAGAGTTTTTATATAAAATGCACGAATAAGCATGATTTAACGAGAAGACAAAGTCTTAAGTGCTGTAATTCATGTTGGAAATCATGAGTATTTTTAAGTCTTCTTACTTATAATCAAAGTGGTCATCTCCTGAATATAATGAAAATAAGAGCAAGTGATAGCCCCTTATCTTTATTTAAATATGCTTTATCTGCAGGAGTTTGAACAACTCAGGCAAGGAAATATTTTGTTGAGAGGCAAGATGCATTTTTAAATTTATTTTTGCTTAATATGTGCTCAACTTAAATTGATTTGAGAACATATATTTAAGCAAGGTCTTCATAAATTATTATAAAATGAGAATTGTATATTGTGACATGTTTAATAATCATGATTTTATTCCAGTGATCCAATAAAAGGAGTGCTCAATTGAAGGAATGGAAATGTGTCAAAAAGCCCAAACTCTGCACAGTATAATGATTCCTAATTCTCAAAAAATCCAATGGGTTTTAGTTTCTAAAAGTGATACGATAAAAGAGTACAGAGTCTCTCTCTAATTCTGTGAGTGAAATTCTCTTTAGAGGGAATGCTGAATAAAAAAGATAAGATCAGGGAAAGAGGTGAAAGAAATGTTCTTCTCCAGTTCACCTTACATTAGGAGTCAACTTTTACCCAAGCTCAGGCAAAGTTACTTATATGAGAATCCCGGTACTTCAGGATGGAGAGAATGAGAAACAAGAAAATGATAGGCATGGTATTAAATCTTAGGTATGGCAATTCTATTGAGCAACATTAATGTTTTGGAAGGTTCTAAATCATAATAAGAAGTATGTATCTCATGCATGATACAAATGCATTTCATTAACAGGGAGAACAAGGTTTAGAGCTGAAAGTAAATCAAAGTAAGAGTTTGTATTTTAATGAAGTACAGAAGAGCTGCCCTCCTAAAGGATTGAAAAGGACTCAAAAATGTCCTTTACATATTGTCAGTACAAATGAAGAACATGTATTGAATTAATTCCTACACAGAAAATTCATCATGGAATAGCCAATAGGTATTATCTTTCTACAGTATGAGAAGTACAAAAGAAGTCTTTACTATATAATCTGATTCAGATTATATGCACTCGTGTGTATCATAGGCACTCATGAAACAATTGGAGAAAAATACAAACAAAACAAAGCAATGTAATGGTGTGGCATGAAAAAATAAATATTGCAGCAGGTGAGCGAGGGAAATCAGAGCTGATGTGGGAGATTTGCAGGACAGTGACTTTTTTTTAAGATGCACTTTTAAAAGGGGTGAAATGTGTCCCTTCAACACAAGGCATTCCAAACCATGAAATCCTAGAAGAAAATGAAAAATCATTAATTTGCCAATTCACATTCAGCTTTTGGTTCATGGGACAGGCATTTAGATACAACACAACCTATTTGATCTTCTCCTCCATAAATCATTCAGTTCCTTTAATGTTCCAGCCAAAGTCTGTGAAGCAATGTAACTGCTTGATTTTGTCAGGCGATTTATAAAAATGTAGTCACCTGGAAAATGCTAAAGGGATTGACTGAAACCAATTTTCACTCTTGTGAAATGCATCTTTGTTTCAGTCAGGTTGACTCAATAGCTAACAAAACAGAAAGAACCTGACAGACATGTTTCCCAGTGCCCATTGGCCTTATGTGCCTACCCACTCACATATACCTAGTTAGTTGCATGAACAGATATTATTGCTGTCTCCTCCCCACAAATATTATTTTTGCTACCTTAAAAAGACTTTCCTCTTGCAATTTAACAGTAAAAGGACACAAATAACAAAATCTTAAGACTTAAGTTCTAGTCTTAATATCATTGCCTATAGGAGTTGTGACTTTGGTTTTTAGTTCACATCTCTTAGTCTTGGTTTTTCTTCATTGCATTATTACTCATTAAGCACTCTGAGCAATACAAATGCATTTTCTGCAGTGCAAATGTATTGGAATTGACAATCTTCATTATGTTAAATATTAAGTAGAACTTTGTACAAATAATGCATTTCATTTAGAACTGAGTTAACATATTCAAGAGTGGCATTGAATTCAGAAACTGAATTGTTTCTGGCCTGGACAAGCTATGCATTTATGGTTAAGAACATTCATAAACATGATTGTACCTTATTGAATCTCATATTTCTTATAACTTATTTTTTTCATTGTTAACACATTCCAGGGTAAATATGAACATGTATCAACTAGGGAATATAAAAAATCAAAAGAGAAATAAAAATCAACTAGAATTGGTTGATTATGTCATCACTGTACTAATTCGTTTTCCTCAAAGTACAAAAATTCCATGTTGATGCATATATTGTACCTAGATTAGCACTTGGAGCCAATAGAGACTTTTGAATTTTCTCAGTATCCTCTGCTTTCTATCTCTCATTTCACCTCTGTAAGGTGAGAAATACTGTTGAGTTGGAATGTCAATAATATCTAAACTGGCTTTCATTAATAAGAGGTAACTATGTCCATTTATTTAGCTATACACCAGGCACTAGCACTCAATTACTTGCCAGAAATGCTAAATACATGAAACAATTCTGTTCAATAAGGATAAAACAGTGCCTAAGTAATTTCTATAGGTATTCTAAGGATAAAATAAGGAAAAAAATAAATGCATTCTAAAGTATAATTAATTATAGCTTTAATTTTTAAATGTCAATGTTTTGTCAATATTTTTCTTTGAAAGGTTAACAATGTATATTATCTTAATAGAGATCACATGAATCAAATTATATTTTGCCTTATTTTGGACTGTTTCAACTTTGTCTTTCAAAATAAATAATGGGTCAATAAGGGTTGCCAAATTCAATACTGAGACAAATGTTTATTAAGCTCCCATATGGCTATTACTAAAATGTACTACTACAAATATCTGTAATAATTGCTGCCATATATCGAAAAATTCCTGTATGCCAGACACTGCTTAGTACTTCATATGTTCTGTCTCACCACACTGATCATTTGCAGGATATAAGGTGATTAAATATAATCCCCATCATTTGGGGCAAATTGTATGAGATGTGTGTAGAATTAGAGTAGGAGTTGCTGTGGGTCAACATGACTGGCCCAGGGCTAATACGTTTTAAGGCCCTCCTCTTCTCACCATTTAGCCTCTTGGGATTCTAGAACTTAAAGATGAGGCCTCATAGTATAGGCCAGTAGAAGTTTGCATCCTGTCTGCAGCAGTTCAACTGAGTGCCAGATTGAGAAGCCTGCCAAAACTCCAGGGGCTTTCACCACAAAAAGTAGGGAAACAAACTTCATTTTGTGAATGGGTATATTTTGGCCCTGAGCTGACATTCACTGAAGCCAAGCTGTACAGCCTCTGGTATTCTCAAATATGCTTAAAAACCCACAAACCTGCCTTTTTTTTTTCCATCCAAGTCAATATTGGCCCAAAGTCAGAAGCCTTGCCTTTTTTGGTCATGTTGTAGATGCTGGACCAATGTCGACTTGGTAAGAATGTTGACTTAGGAGGGCATGGACGCATCCTGGCCCTTATAAACCTCCCAGATTTACAGAAGTGCCTCTTGAGCTCTTAATGAAATGAAGTAAGTCTAATTCTCTGTATTAGGTTGTTTATTGAGCAGACTCATGGCAAAGCCCAAAACAGTATACCTGTGGGGCTGATATTGGCAAAGTGATAATATCTTTGTAGTATTCTTCAGATTAAGCTGTTTTCTTTTTCTTTTTATCACCATATATGGTAGTGGCTAAGAGTCAGTTTTAGAATTATGAGTTAATAAATCCAGGCTTTGCCATTTAATTGTTTGTGCATTGGAAGTTTACTTAACCTCACTCTATTTCCCTTAGGTGTAAAATGCATATATCAGTAGGGCTGTTGGGAGGATTCAGTGGGATTATAGAGGTGAAGTGCTTAGCACAGTGTCTGATACATACAGCACACTCAATAAATGCTAATGTGAGAATAAGATAATGTTTAGGGTAAGGATTCTTTAGTTGGGCATTTATTTTCACATAGATATTCCAAATATACCTGAAAGAGAGCTCCTTCATCTTCCTCCCCGTGATCCATTGATGTCTCTGTGTGTCATATTCCAATGTTTTACCAAATTATTGAAGCTAGAAATTCTAATTGCCAGCTCTTTCTTCCCTGGCCCCCACATCTAATCAACTACCAAGGCCTTATGGTTTTACCATCTAAATATGGTCTTGAACTTCCCAGTTCAAGCGGTCCTCCTGCCTCAGCCTCACAAGGTGCTGAAATTACAGTCATGACCCACCCCACCATGCCCAGCCCAGTTACTTATTGTTATATTTAATCTTGTTACTATTCCCCTCTGCTATGCCTGTGTGCACTCTCAGCTGTGTTGCTCTTCCTATTACTTAGCAATACAGACTAAGCACCTTAGGATGGTGTTATCTTTGATCTAGCTGCTGCTTCCTTCTCCAACAACCTATTTTAGACTTAGAAAAGTATTTAGTAAGCTTTATTCTTGTCTGGAGGATAATGGCAGTGTATTTTTCTTTGTTTTGGTAGTATAACGCTAGCATACTTTATGAAATGATTATGTCCTTTTTCTACCATTAGAAGGGTTAAATTGAAGCTTGGGAAACATAAATACCTGTAATTGGTGAATTACTGACCATTTTTTCCCAAAATACTATGTTATCAATGAGTAAACAGATCAGGTAAAAAGCCTGCATATACAAATTAAAATTGAATATATTTCTCCTGAAAATCGATGAAAAGATATTTTTATCTACTAGAGTAATTCCACCGTATGCAGCAGGATATACTTTTTGTTTCTAGTTGCTGGACATGCCTGATGTTTCTATGCCAAAATGTCTCACTGAATAAATAAAGATAACATAATTGCCTCATTTATTAGATTTTAAACTGCTTGACAGGAGAGAGACTGTCTGACAAGTGTGCTTAGAACAGGGCAGAATACTTTGTCATCAATCTGTAAATGCGTGTTGATTGATTGGTGGCCGGGTCATGGATTTTGGATTGTTTAACCAACAGTAATGAAAGCTTTGCTGTCTAGCTAAACGCTTTATAAAGACTCTTTGCCCTGACGTCTGTCTGGAATTTGCAAACTATTTCAAAAAGGTAAAGCTACCTTCTTGGGTAGCTTTGGGTAAAAATAATTTAGACTGGGTAAAAATAATGGCTTGAATTCAAGTGAGCAAATGTATAACTTGATTATGCAGATGTACAGACTTTTCTTAAAATTTATTAAGCAGTATTATAAAATATTACAAAAACACCAGTGTAAATGTCTTTAAACTGCCCCATACTTGTATATTATAGCACAGAGATCAGAAAAATCACAACCCTCAGGTGAAATCTGGCCCATTCCCTGTTTTTATAAGAGAATTTGTATTGGAACACAGCCATGCACGTTCATTTACATGTTGTCTATGACTGCTTGTGCACTACAACAGCAGAGCTGAGTAATTCCAACAATGCCTTTGGAACCGCCAAGGCCCTTTTCTGAAAAGCGTATTGACCTTTGTTCTAGCACATTGTAGATCATGTGCTATTCTAATTATTTTGTGTCTAGATGCTGTTACATTAACATGTAATTTTGGTGCATTGTGAGTCTGTGTAGGTTTTACGCATGCATTAAAATAATACTCCTATGTGTACCGAACTTTTGAATCAAATAATAGTAGATGGATAATATTTTATGAGGTTAATGTGCCATATGTTACAAAACTAGATTCTATTTATTGATCATTTAGTTTTTTTTCCGCCATATTTTCTTACATTGTGACTAATCTTGATTTACCTTTGAAAAAACCTGATGTTCATTTGCCTCGTGGCTGGGTTTAAGCATAACATATTAAAGTAGTTCCTATACCTAAAGAGGTTATCAGGTAGTTGTATCAGGTTTTGTGGAGCTCAGAACTGACTTTAATGGCTTCAGCAATTACTTGTCTGATTCTCTATAAGATGCATGGTGATATCTAGTGTACAGAACACTTGACTGAAATCAATGGGCAATAATTCTGTTTTCTGCTGAATGTAAAATCCTTAACAACCGCTGGCTTAGCTTTTCTTCTGTGAAATTAGACATGACAATAAATGTCTTATTGAACCAGCTTCAAGAAATGGTGTGTTGATGAGACTGTGTGTTTGTTAATAAATAAGAACAATTTCATTATTGCAATCCCAGCATCTAGCAGTACCTGATAGCAGTACTTATTGAATACTCTTTGCCTAAATTAATAATTATACAACTTAAAATCGTAAATGTTCTGGAAAGCTACCATTAACAATAGAACTAGCTTCTAGACTTAGTAACTTTTAGTTTGGTTACTGGGTCCACCACTCACTGTCTCCAAAAATTTACAAAAATCATTTAAGCTCTAAGCCACAATTTTCTCATGTGTATTATAGTGATAATAATAGTACTTATCCCATACAGTTATTGTGAAGATCAAAAAAAATCAAAATAAAGCACTAACAATGTGCTTGACACATAGTCCCTACCCAGTAAATGTAAGTTACTGTCATGTTTCAATGCAGTTCTTAAATGGAGAGCTATAGTCTGCTTTGAAGGTAATTATTCCTGGAAGGTTTTCATTTTCTATTTGGACAGAATTGTTATTCTGAGTAGCCTGCACCTGACCCCAAAAGAATGAATATTAAAATGTATTCTTATTTTAAAATGTCAGTTTCATAATTTCTTGGCCAATTGGACCTTCCACAGTGAGGCACTCTCTCTGACCTTTTTTGGTAGCACCAATTGTTTAAAAGTCTCTATATAATTTTAAAAAGCTTTTGTGCTACTTTTCCTTCATGCTTATTATGAATTTGAAATCGTGTGCTATAAAAAGTATTTGGCTGTATGTGCTTTTATAATGAAAGTAATTTAATTGGGCATTCTGCCTCCACAGATCAGCAAGGGTCAAAATGACTTTTTTAAAGAGAACATGAGAGAAGCATTACAGAAGTCAGAGAGGGTAAAAAAAAAAAGACCTCACCTTTTGCTTTCAGCACCGAATGATGCAGGCTTCATTAAGGCCAGTGGCGAGTCTCGTGTGTCGTGTATTTGCAAACCTGCTCCACTGACGGATACCTTCCCACATGTGTTCCTTGGAGTGGATGGTTAATCACCCCACATCTGTTTAGCTGGTACCTGCACAATTAGACAATCCTGGGACAAGGACACCTTAAGCACATGACACCAACTATCCTTACTCACTATTTTTTTTCTGAAATTCTTGCTGCCCTTGAAGTTTCCTTGTTGAGCTTTTCCAAGATTACACTTGTCGTGCTGTAAGACTACTAGAAAATAAATACTTTTCTTAAAGATGGGACACCCCAATCAAGCTAATTTACATAATCAACTCCTTTTCACACAATGCTGGTAGGATTGTAAACTACCTTTTTGCCCATTGTTGTTAAAGGTTTGCTAGTTTACATAATCTATTCCTTTTCACACAATGTTGGTAGGATTGTAGAATCAACTACCTTTTTGCCCATTGTTGTTAAGGGTTTTCTGGAAGTGGAGCAAATATGCTTCACTCTTAACAAACACTTACTTCACAACATTCCCACTGACAGAAGCTGAATTTAACGTTAGTTTTCATGGTTATATCCCCTTTGAATGAGATTAGGATATAACAGAATGAGACCTTAGGAGTTCGGGCAAAAATACCTGCTTTGTATAAGATGAAAACATGCCTATTCTGTAACCAACTCTCTGATAAAGGAAGTAATGTAGGTACAGTGATTAGGAGAGGAATCGTCTAGAAGACACCATGTCCATCCATCAATATTCCTACTTAGTTTGGTCAAGTGAGTCTTTCAAATCTTTGAATCTTTGTTTGCCTATATATTGTAAGTTCACAATGGTAGTTCAGTTAAGTATTATATGGATAAATTGCTCTTCAAAATATTAACAATAACAATTGACAAGTCTCTATAAAAATCAGCAAAAACGTTATGATCTTCTCATGTAGCTGAAGGTGGTGGAGTTAATGGAATAACATTAATTCATTCTTAAACCAGAATGGAATTTTTGTCACAAGGTCTCTGCTTTTCATTCTAACTTCTACTCAAGGATCTACTAAACCTTTTTGTCAAAGAGTCTCCATTGTGTGCACACACACACACTCACATATACGCCCTTTGAATCATCACAAGCACTTTTATTATTACTATAGATTAAGCCAATGTGGATTCATTCATTCAATCCTTCATTCAAAATGTCTTGAGTGCCCATCGTGTTTAAAGCATTGCCTTGATCAGCAGTTCTCTAAGTGTAGTGTGTTGCCAAGCTGTGTGTTTTCCAGACCCTTTCAGGGAGTGCATGAGATGAGAACACTGAGAATGACATGAACTTTATTACAATACTAATACTCATAAGAACTCACTGTGTTGACATTTGCATTGCTGGTGTAAAAGCAGTTGTAAGTAAAACTGCTGGTCCTTAAGTACAAACCAAGGCAGGGACACAAAACTGTATTAGCCATTATGTTATTCACTACCCCTTGCTCATCACACAGGTTTTACTTTAAAATGTTGGGATGGAGCAGTAAAAAATAATAATAATTTTGTTAAATCTTCATCGTTGAGTGAACATTTTTTTAATATTCTGTGTGCACAGTGTGATGTACACATAAATGTCTGTTTCATACTGAAGCATAATGGTTGTGATGAAGGGAAAAAAAATCCCAGTGGCCTTGTTTCAGATGGAAGCTGAACTGCGTACTTCTTTCAGGGAACGTCATTTGTACTTGAAAGGACTAATAGATGAACTCTGGTTATTCAGACTTGGATATTTTGCAGACATTTTCTCAAAAATGAATCAAGTGAGCTGTCACTACAAGGAAAACAGTTGACATTACTTGTTGTCAGTGATAAAATTTTGAGCTTTCAAGCAAAATTTGAACTGTGGAAAAATTGTGCCCACCACAATGAGCTGGACAACTTCATAATAGTTACAGAGTTTTCTGGTGAGATTGATGGTGAGATTAATTAATGTGACTTTTTTGTATTAGATATAATGAAAGTGACAAAATTTGGATGATCTGTATAACTCAGTGAACAAATGCCTTAAAAATGCGTGATGTTACAAATCATGCATTGGTAAAAGATTCATTCAAAATACAACAGGCTGTAATATAACATAGTGTGAAAACTTTATAGAAATGGTTTTAGATTCCACCTTGCATCACATATTTAACAAACTACTACTTTCGAGTTTGGGTGTATTTTTAAAGTAAAATATCCACAATTATCTGAAAACAATACTAAAATACTCCTCTCTTTCTAACTGTGTATCTGAATTTTCTTCATTTGTATCAACCAAAACAACTATCTTTGAACTTGGAAACAAAGACACAAGAATCTAGCCATCTTTTATTAAGCCAGGCTTTAATGTGATTTACAAAGATGTAAGGCAATACCACTCCTATCAATAAATGTTTAAGTTAGAAAATATAGCCAGTTTTCAACAAAAATATGTAAATTTAAAAACTGTATAGTTGGTTTTTTATTTTAAAATTGTTTTTTATCCTCAATTTTAACTTTTAATATGTTATAGATATATATCCCCATAAACAAAACTGCTTTGGTATACTTAATAATTTTAACAGAGTAAAGAGAACTTCAGAGCAAAAATTTTGAGAACTAGAGTTTTAGATATGGGGAATGCAGTGTCAAAGACACAGACTCCATCCCCACAGTTTAATAGAGGAGGTAGAACAAGCAATGCAGCTCCTACCTTTCATGTGATGTCGTGGAGGTCTGTAGCAGGCTATGGGAATACAGAGGCAGGGTTTCTAACTCACAGAAGTGGGAGAAGGAAGGCTTCTTAAGGGAAATATTCTATCAGAGCCTCAAAGTTTATCTGAATCTGGAAGTTCAAGTACATGTTAGGCTGATAAGGAGAGAGTGGGCATTCTTGTAGAGGGAACAGTCTGTACAGAGAAACTGATGATAAGAGAACAAGCCATGTTCTAGGAGCTGCAAGTTTAGGTTGCATGAGTGAACCATGGACGCTGAGTCTGGAGTGGAGATGAAGAGCAGCACAATTTTCACAGGGTCCTGACAGTGGGGGTACAATGGAAAGATTTCTATTTTAGAAATTTTGAAAGGTAATTACTTTAGAAAGATAACTCTAGCAGAAGCAGAGAGGTTCATGGGGACATTGGGAAAGAAGGCAGAGAGAGAGAGAGATAATTTAGGACTCTACTGCAATGATCTGAGAGAGCACTGATGAACACTGTACTAAAGCAGTAACATCAGGGAGGAAAATGAAGAAATGGATTCCAGCAGTGTTAAGGAGGTTGAATTTATAGGACTTGGTAGCCAACTGAATGCAAAGGATGAAGGAGAATAAGAAAAAATACAACTTTAAGTTTTTTACTTAGGTGGTTGGAAGATAGTGGTGCCATTCTTTGAATGAGAGAGTTAAAAAAGAAGACAATTGGGGAAGAAGGGTGTTGATACATTTACTGTAACATTTTGGAGCTTTAAAGGCTGTGGACTGTCACGTGCAGATAGCCAGTAGACAGTTGAATGTGCACTTCTGTTAGGTAAGAAAAACGCAGAGGCTAAAAATAGAGATCCAGGAGTCATCACTATATGGATGTCAGTGGAATCCATGAGTCTGACTGAGAGCACTCAGACAGTGGGTAGAGGAGGAGAACATAGCCGGCCTGAGGATATCTACATCAAAGAGATGAATAGAGGAAGAAGAATTATATTGCAAGTGATATTGGCTGTTCTAATACACGCTGTCTTATTTAAGGTGAAGATTAAGGAAGATTCCAGTTGATGATCTGTTCATAACTGAAGAATTCAGTGACCAGCTCTGTCACTATTCTTATATGCCGTTAGTATTGTGATAATTTGTATGCATTTTTTTCATGTGAGCAAGAACAAGAGAAAGGAAGAGGGAGAGAGCAGGGGGAGAGAGAACAGTAGAGAAGGGAGGGTAGAGTGGAGTGAGTGTGAATGTATATGGAAACTGTGAACACTTTCTAGTACAAATCTTCCCCTTTTGAATATCTGGCAGCAGTTAGATAATTTAAAACATTTTAATTTTGGTTTAGATTGAAATGCATCTTTTGCCAACCATTTATGATCTATATATAGCCATTAAGATTGTTTCCTCAAAAACAGAAAAAATCTTTACTGTTGCCTCCAGGGTTTGGCAGAGAAATGTTAGTCCAAAGCTAAAAAATTAACCACTAATTAACCATATGTGCTTGCATTTTATATTTTTAAATACATATTAAGCTACATTATGGGAATTCTGGTTCTGAATTACAGAGAGTAAATGTAAACAATTAGGTCCAAACACAATTATTTAGCAACCTTTCCATTTTAGTTCTAACTCAGAAAAATCTCTGGGTCTAAAAATGCCCAGCCCCATACCTATGGGACACAGCTTGAGGGATTTACTCCACAGATTTGCACTTGGTCTGCCTCCTATCCATACACTGATGAAGTTCAATGATTCAAATGAAGTCTCTAAAACACATAACATTTAGATAAGTATACCTAATATCTCATTTAGATAAGTATGCCTAACATCTCACTTAGATAAGTATACCTAATATCTCACTTAGATAAGTATACCTAATATCTCATTTAGATAAGTATACCTAATATCTCACTTAGATAAGTATACCTAATATCTCACTTAGATAAGTATACCTAATATCTCACTTAGATAAGTATACCTAATATCTCACTTAGATAAGTATACCTAATATCTCACTTAGATAAGTATACCTAATATCTCACTTAGATAAGTATACCTAATATCTCACTTAGATAAGTATACCTAATATCTCACTTAGATAAGTATACCTAATATCTCACTTAGATAAGTATACCTAATATCTCACTTAGATAAGTATACCTAATATCTCATTTAGATAAGTATACCTAATATCTCACTTAGATAAGTATACCTAATATCTCACTTAGATAAGTATACCTAATATCTCACTTAGATAAGTATACCTAATATCTCACTTAGATAAGTATACCTAATATCTCACTTAGATAAGTATACCTAATATCTCATTTAGATAAGTATACCTAATATCTCACTTAGATAAGTATACCTAATATCTCACTTAGATAAGTATACCTAATATCTCACTTAGATAAGATACCTAATATCTCACTTAGATAAGTATACCTAATATCTCACTTAGATAAGTATACCTAATATCTCATTTAGATAAGTATATCTAATATCACTTAGATAAGTATACCTAATATCTCATTTAGATAAGTATATCTAATATCTCATTTAGATAAGTATACCTAATATCTCATTTTGTTTGTTTAATTGGATTAACTTTACCCAAAAATGGATCAACTATTTTAACATTACTTAGATTCTTAGAAGTGCTATTTTC
Organism: Homo sapiens; assembly: GCF_000001405.40. Lineage (NCBI taxonomy): Eukaryota > Metazoa > Chordata > Mammalia > Primates > Hominidae > Homo > Homo sapiens. The sequence goes on from NC_000001.11 coordinate 239,733,057, forward strand.
CCTCCAGACGTCTCCATTGCCTAAATGCCATTTTATTCAGTAAAGATGTTACGGCACATTATCCTTTTGTCTTCTGTTTCTTGGTCATTTAATCAGGTTGACTAAATGTTCCCTGAGCTCTCCACCTGTTGGAGTTATTAACCTCTGTATGCCCTCTAATCCCAAATGGATCCACCAACTACCTCAACCAGCCATGAGCCAAAGTGGAGACTGGGTGTGGCTCCAGCATCTGGAGAGCTCCCCCAAAGTACGCATAGTTGAAAGAGGGGGAAGAAGGACGCAGAGAAAATTCAAAATGAAGATACCAGAGATTTCCCCCGTTGTCTCAAAGACTTATGAACGAAGGGAGATAATTGAGCAAAAAGTTCCATTAATAAGGGGCAAGTGGTTATCTGTAGATATATACCTGACATCTAGTAAGCATCTGAGAAATATTTCATTACTATACTTATTTAGTTATTCTCAAGTTAGGTAGTCACAAACTAGAGGCTATTAGTAAGTGTTTATTTTGCTATCAGGCTCTGGAGATGCATATAGAGGTATTTTAGTTTCATTACAAAGCATCTTCTGTAAGAAAGTTTATATTCATTTGAGAGAAAAAATATTTTGAGATAAAATTAAAGGATGAAGATTAAATAGGGAATTTAATTTTGAATTAAAGTAAGCTCAGCTGTTGCTTAATGTATGGCTTCACTACATTTTTCTTATGTGGGGAAAAGAAAAAGAAAAGGAAGTAACCACTTATTAAGCACCTATTTAGCATCTGTTGTCAATCAGACATTGCTTGAACCTTTTATGTACCTTATTTAATTTAATATAAAATATATCATCTTTTATGCTTCTTAATGTAACATATTAAACTTGATTCTAGATGTTGTGAATCCACATTTTATTTTTACTTAAGAATTTTTTAAAGGACAGAAACTACTACACCCTGAAGACTTTCCACACTTTTACGCAATGTGGAGGGTGCTAGTCAATGGTCAGTTATTTTTATCCATGATGTGACTATTACCTCCATCTCTAGCTACAGAAAGCAAAACTTTCATTCATAACAGGCAACCAACCTAATAGCAATGAGCACTTACTTCAAGCATTCACATGTAGCTTTTTAACAGTAATTTACCACTTAAGGGAAATAATTCTTCTTGGAGAGATGACAGACTCCAGGTCTGGGGCAGGAAATGTTCAGGATGAGTGTAGAGTATCTTGTTGCACCAGATACTTAAGAATCCAGAGACTGCTGAGGTCATGTCGAAAGGACTCAGAGCCAACTTGAAAGGACTTTCACTAGTGACCAGTGGCACATTTCGAAAATCAGAAAGAATATTCACAATTAATTGAAACATATTAAGTGTGTTAAAATTCCATGGATTTATAATAATAATACAAGAAAATTGGTAACTTTTACAGAATGCTAGGGGCAGAGCACAACCCAACATTCTGAAAACTGTCAAATAAAAGAATCAAGCATTTTTTTTCTGCTTTTCCTTTGCAAGCTGTACTTCAGGCTGTACCAAGTAATTGAAGAAGGAAATGTTATCCTTTTTGAAGAAGTCCAGTGAATAACTGATGATAACATTTATTATATAATCAGATACATGTTATAAGTGCGCATTGAGAATTTTTCTTATTTTTTAAGTTGGGATACTGGTATAGTGATTATACATTCTTTTAAGTGTCTTTTACCAACATATACTGATGAGTATGCAGGCAAAATGATGAGATATCTGGGATTTGCTTCAAAACAACCCAAGATGGAGAGAAGTAGGTGGGAACTTAGATGAAATAAGATTGCCATATGTTGACGATTATTGAAACTGGGTGATGGAATTCGTTATGTCTCTACATTTGTGTATGTTGGAAATTTTCCATTATTTAAATTTTTCAAAAGTCTTCCTATTCCATAGCATGTATTCATTTGAAATATAGGGCATTTGCATTTGCTCCAAAAGGGTGGTTATGTTAGAACAGGAAAAGAATGATCATACTTTTGATTTGCCGATTTTTGTGAGGAGAAAATAGACAATATTCTGCTCAGAGTCAGAAAGAGAAAACTTTATCATAAAATCAATGTAACCTGAGGTTAACATCTCTAATGCCAGCCTCATGGAGATCAGTGTGACTGAAGTATTACCCTAGTAGTCCTGCATGTGTCTTCTTTCAAAGCAAAAGTCAAATAGTTTCTATCCCCACATTATAGATTATGCTGATTTGCTTGATGCATAAATAGGGTATTCAGAGCACATTGCCTGTGTCCATTTCCTGTACTGCCAGATAGTCGTGTTCAGCACTTGCCTCTGCTACTGTCTATCTGCTGCAACTGCAGATGTTTCATGTAGCTGACAAGTACTAAATGAGAGGCAATTTTTTTTCCTGCTTTTATTATTTATTCTTTTAAAATGGTAAGCCAAATTTTAAATCCTGAAATCGTTTTGAATGTTTTTCTCAAAACAGGCCACTGTCAAACTTTTTTTCCCAAACATGGATTCATTAATTTTGAATCAAATAAAACTGATGAATAAAAACAACAAATAATAAACGAAGCACTATTTTTGGCTAGAGGTATAAGTTGCTGCTCCATTTCTTTTGCTGACCATCTGTAGTATGTTATTTGATCATTGCCTCTTGAGGGTTGATTTTGGTTCAATTAGTTTTCTTCTTTTGTCCTTGACAATGTGCCACCTGGAGAAAAATCTTCCCTGCTCCGAAAAATGCTGATAAATTTACATTATTATACAATTTACAACAACACAAACACATCAGAAAAGCAGCTATGCTAAAGTAATTTAGCAGCTGAGACCATACAGGAGGGTTTCCTTGGGGATACGTGGATGTGCCATGATGTTTTCTGGCCACTCCCTTCATCAATAAGGAATCCTTCTGCAGACACTATGGAAAATAAATTAATGACAACTTGATCCCCAACTTCAATGCCTATCCCCAACCCTCCATAAGATTTAAGTCTGAAGGGTAAGGAGAACTAAACCCACCCTAATGTTATTATATTCCCCTCTGAATAATAGCAGCTAGTATCGACTACTCCACTTTCCCTATGTGCACATGTAACTAAAGTGCTTTATAAATATTAACACCTTTAATCTTCACAAAAGTCCCATGAGGAAGATATTATTCATTATTGCAGGCAGATATGTCATTTAAGGATCTGGCAGTAAGTAAATAAGCTGCCCCAAAGCCTATGAGCCAGACGAATAGAACCAGGATTTGAATTGTCCCTGCCATCCCTTACTTAAAGCAGCCTCTTTGAGGACAAATAGTTTGTTATTATTAGCTAAAAAACAAGGTGTAGTTAAAGCCACAATCAATAACCAAATAATAATAATAATAATATAATAAAAACAACATAATTTAAAACTTGATACATCATTATTTACCTTCATGTCTACTTTAATACTTCCTTAAAATAAATGATACCATCTTCACATGCATTATACATAGGGGCATTGGTGTGGAAATGAAGGGTTGATTTCAGGATGTATTATCGGATGTTGAACCTAATGACTCTCAGATTAATATACAGTGCTACAGATTTTGCTTTATAGCCTACGTTTGAAACTCCATCTCAGGATTTTGCTTCTGAAATTCTTCCAAGATAAATTGCTGACCTTGCTAATGTTAGTTCCATAACCAGCTATGCCAATACAATTTACCTTTCTGGCATTGCACTGGCAGCATTGTGTTGTTAATGTTTTGTTTTCTCATATATAATAAAGTGTAATTAAGTAACTTGTAAAGAATTTGCCTATAAAAATGGCTGCAACTTAAAATATTCACTTAAAATATTCCATTGGGTAATCATAGAAATCGATTCTCTACTCTTAGTTTTGCATGAAAGTTCAGTCTTGCTGAAAATGTATGAATATACTTATATAACACATTTATATTTGTATAGAATTACTGCTACTGCAGAAGTATTTTAAAATAGTTTATTGTTATTGGTTCATTTAAGGGACTTTTCTATCCCCAAAATGAACTCTGGCTAAGTAAGTATACATGTGACTTAATATCAACATTTTCTTCATTCATATTACTTCTCTAATATATTACACTAAAGTATAAATAATTACAATGATGTGCCTAAATCTACTTAAAACCATTGGTCATCAGGGCATATTTATTAGAAGAATTTTCATCCCACATTTTAATAAAATGACCAAATAACTTTTACAATGCAATTATTGCCCTTTATCACCATGAGTAGTGAGTAAAGCCACTTTGCAATGATCTGTTTTGACAAAATAAATTTTCCAGAGAAAATCTGAGCAAATAATGGAACTTAAAACTAACCACTAAATCTATCCTCAGTCATAGAAAGTGCGATAATGTTGGGATGGTTGCCACAAATCATTTAAATTCAGAAAAAATAAACACACAACTAACCCCGTTTAGAGGTGTTCAGATGTTTCAAATGCCATTCAGCAAAGTCCTAAGCACATAGTTCAAAACTAAAGCCCTGACTCTTAACTTTGACCTCACTTGCTTTTACAACATCCTCTGCTCCTCAACCTTAAATTATAACCACTTTCTTCTTGCACATTTGTATCACTGGTTCTTGGCTGCTTAGGGCACTGAGAGTTGACCTAGGGTAGAGCAATGTTTTCCAGAGTTGGGATGGCATTGTTTGTAATGTTATGCTGCTCTCTGTGTTGTTTTTATTTGTTTCAAGGAGTAGGTGACCCAGAAAACTCTTCGTAAGACATCCTGCCTAGGAGACAATACTTATGAATTACAAAGTTATCTGTTAAGATATCTGATTAGATCTCAGAGAGTCAACAACTGAAGCAAGCTGATCTTTCAGAACACATACGGGCAATTAAAAAACAAACAAACAAAAAATGCCCAGAAACCACTGGCAGAAAATATGATTGACTACTTTTGTTTCTTCCTTATAATACCAACCTGGGAATGAGAATGACAAAAATAACAACAACAACAACAACAAAAAACTGAAATAATTACTTGTGGATGAAGCTTCTTTAATTTATCTAATTGTTTCATTAGCAGCAAGAATTAAGAGAACAACTTTAAAAACGAATATGGGGTTTGAGTTCACAATTCCTCCACTATGGCAGGTTTGCAGTGAAACATCAATATGACTAAATTTTCTCTAATGGTACCTTGTATCTGCATTTTGGTAACAAGCTTTTGGTTCCTTCTCTCACCCAGTCCTCCTCCCTGATAACCCCATGCCCTTCATTCCTTCTCTGAAGTCATCTATAATTGTAGGATGCACCTCTGTAGAGAATTTGAGAGAAGCTACATTGCTCAGCTCTTCAGCACCAGTGCCCTGTCGGGAGAGCCCTGGCTTGCAGTCAGTACTGGAGCTTAACAGTCGGGTCATCAGGTGGTTCCAGCCAGCCAAATGGGGATTATTATCCCAAGGCCAGGCTCAGGGGGGGTTTGGGAGTCCAGGAAGCATGTACAAATGGGAGAATAGAACACATTAATTTCAGGGCAGTCAGAAAACAGTGCTTCCCTAGGAAAGTGTGACTGTCCTCTTGAGTAGATGCATGTTGTAAATTTGATATTAGAAACATGTCAAATAAATGATTGAACATGAGGAATGAAATGAGAGAGGGACAAAAGCCCAGTCTATACAGACCCATGACTTTCTTTTCCCAGATCTTGTGCACTGGGAACAGAAACTTAAAATTAACCATTTGAACACTTTTTCTGCTCCCTCAAGAGGGCTTGTAGAGTGTATTCTGTTCACTTAGAAAAGCACTGTGTAAATAGCAGATATTATTCAGAGAGTCCTGTATCTATTCCTCTCCATGCATGGTCCTGGAAAAGACAGCTTTCATTTAAGGTTTGTTTTTGAGGTAGAAGCCTTGGTCACTGCTAAGGCACAGTGCATGCAATATCTCTTCTGAGGTTGCTCCTGGAAGATTTTTGCACCTGCCTCCCCTTACATCGTCCCTACCTGTTTCCATAGATTTCAATCGTTTTGTTAATGCTCACTACAGGAAGCACCTAAGAACAGAGTTGCTGTTCTGAGCAGATTCTATCTTGGGACATGATGGGTGGAGAACAGCCAAGAACATTGTAGCAAATAGGTGCCCAGTTGGGCTTTTCAATATTATGTATTTGACAGGGCACAGCAGCACCAGCATGCATTGGCATTGGAAAAATGCATTGCCCAGTTCTGTTTGAAAGCTCCTGTCATTTCAGAAGCACTTGAAAACGGGCATGCACTGAGTTTTGCTGCTGTGCTTGCCGGGGCTATTAATAGGAGCTCAGGACTTACACTTGTATTGCCCTTTTCACAAAAGAAAAAAATCCAAAAGTATTTCTTTTCCAAAACAGTACCAATCAAAGCCAACTGCAGCAATCTTTCACCATAACATTGCATAGCTGTTGAAACTTTAGTCAGGTGAGCTAAATCACATTCATTTTCAGGCAAGAAACTCCCCTTGTGCGTAGAATATTTTAGAGTCCACACTGAATGAAGATGGTGAATACTGAGGTTTCCCACCCACTCTTGGAACTGGCTAACTCAGCTATAATGCTAATAAGGCTGGGACATTGTATTATTCTGAAGAGTTCAGCATCGTATTATATGCTCAGATAGCCTCAGTCACATGCTGGAGGATTTTTTTTTTAATGTTTTGCTAGTTTTAAAAACTAAACTAGAAAAATGGGGCATGTCCCAGTCATCTCAGGGAAAATAATGAAAATGATATCAAAAGACTTAGTGTCTGTTTTCTTTAGCAATCTAATGTTTTCTAAAGATATTGATACATTTGGATTGTTCTTGCACTCTGCTGGCTGATGGGCCCTTCACATCTGGAGGCCAGTTGACTTTGTTCTTTGTCCTAGTGCTTAAGACACGAACATGAGATGCTTTGCACAGGAGAGGTGTCCAGGGAGATGTGTGTTTGTATGGGGCTTCATCTCTCTCTGGGCATTAATGGAATGCATATGCTAGCTTTGGAGTCAGAAGAGTGATAGAGAAGGAATAGATTCCAAAAGGGGTGGAGCATGAGGGGATAGTGTAGTAGAGAAGAGTTACCCTGCTGTGAGATATTTGGGTATCTCTTGCAAGGTCACTTCCTGTCATACAACCTTCCACTTCCTGTCATACAACCTTCCACTTCCTATTGGGCAGAAATAATACAACGGAATAGGATATACTCTAGTCCAAGAATTTTACAGTTAAAACTGAAGTTAAGAAAACTATTGTCTTTTAATACAACAACTGGAAATTGCTTCAAAATAATACCGTGAAGTGCTTTGCATAAAATTTGGAAGAAAAATTGTTTCTTTTTTTTTTCTCACTATTGTTTACAGATTTTCAAAGCTGGAAATCTGAAATTTTGACAAGATGTTCTAGCTTGCTCTGAGGTACCACTGACTACCAAGAAAGTTGACATTGAGGGTGGTTTTTTTTTTTCTTTAAGTTCTGGGATACATGTGCAGAACGTGCAGGCTTGTTACATAGGTATACATGTGCCATGGTGGTTTGCTGCACCGATCAACCCATCATCTAGGTTTTAAGCCCTGCATGCATTAGGTATTTGTCCTAATGCTCTCCCTCCCCTTGCCCCTCACCCCCTGACAGGCCCAAGTGTGTGATGCTCCCCTCCCTGTGTCCATGTGTTCAAAGAAGACATTTATGTGGCCAATAAACATGAAAAAAGCTCATTATCACTGGTCATTAGCGAAATGCAAATCAAAACCATAATGAGATACCATTTCACACCAGTTAGAAGGGCGATTATTAAAAAGTCAGGAAAAAACAAATGCTGGTGAGGCTGTGGAGAAATAAGAATGCTTTTACACTGTTGGAGGGTGTTTTTATAAACATGCACTGAGGTGAGGGTGAAGGTTAAATTTAGATATTAAATAAATGTATCAATGGTATTTTTTGAATGATTCTCTTAGCTTAATCTCATCATTCCCTGGTATTTTTTCCTTATGTATTCATATACTAGTCTTCCTAACTCTTTGTCTGTGTTCTGTAAGTCTCAGAGGGGAAAGAGCTATCTTTCCCATTGTTAGGTTCATGGCTAAGGTTCCCATAACAAAAATTAACAGGAGAAAAGCATATGTATTTATTTCATATAAATTTTATATGACATGGGAACCTTCAGAAGAGGAGATTCAAAGCAGCAGGTAAACTTAGATATTTTTATGTTTTGATCTGGTGAAGATACTCATGGAGAAATATGGTTAGAGGACAAAAAAAGCATAATCTAATAGTAATAAACTTGGGAGAACTTAGCAAAGCCTGTTTGTTCAGATTCTTCTCTGTGTCCCTGTGTCTTCAAAGATAGGGATATTCCTGGCGTTCCTGAATACTTCCAGGTATAGGGTGGACATTTCTCACATGAGGGTCTTATGACCTTCTTCAAGGAAGGTTAGGGCATCCTTTCTAGGTTTTGATGGCCTGCTTCAGGGGAACAGGGCAGGAGAAGGTCAGAGAGTGACTTTCTGCTTCTGCTATGTTCTCAGATGCCAAGGTGCCATATGTTAGGGTAGACTGTCCTAAACCCCATCAACCCTCATATACTTTTCATAAGGCATGTGACTTTGAACAAATAAATGAAAGGATTTCCACCACTGAAGTCAGTCAAATGTTGGTTGAATTCAATCAGCTAAAGCCTTTTGTTTTTTTTATAACATGCACCCACACTACACACATATGTACCATGCACTTATATGCAAAAAAACCCACGTCTTATATTTATATGTAAACATAATCAGAAGCTATATTTAGCTTCACAAGGACAGAGTTTATGAGAGCTGCGGTGGATTAAAAGAAAGTAAGATATTCTTTTAAAAATGAATCTGATTTTATTTTGTCCATCAACCTCATTTCTACCTATCCATCAAACATTGTCTGCAAGAGGTAAAGTCAGCCCCATGCATCGTATAGTTCCAGCTTCTACTCATCTCTTGATTCTCTTCCTCCCGTTACTGTCCTCTCAGTCCCCTTTGTGGTGACCAAAGCCTTTTCACACTGCAGGAAAAGCAATGTTACAATTCTTGCCTTATCTCTGCAGCATGCATACGTTTTTTTTTTTCCTTCTCTGTTCCTATAGCTTTGGATAAACTTGATACAAAGTCAATTTTATAATAAAAGGACATATTTATGTTAGAAAATATTTTTGTCATTGACTACATAAATTATTTGAAGAGCTGCTATCTCAGTTATCTATTACTATAAAACAAACCACACCAAAATGTAGTGACTTAAAGCAGTAACCATTGCTCGTATTTCTTCAGTTTGGGATAGTCTCAGCTAAGTAGGTCTTCTGCTGGTCTGGCCTGGAGTCACTCCTATGAGCACAGTCACTTGGAGGTTCAACCGGAGCCAGATGGCCTAAGATTGTTTCATTCACAAGTAGGGTGGCTAGCAGGACTCTCTGCGGGTGTTTACATTCTCCTCTATATGGCCAATCCAGCAAAACAGTTGGGTTTCTTATGATGGTCTTACCAGTCCAAGATGGAGAGAGTGGAGGCAGCAGTCCTCTGAAGTCACAAATGTCATGCTCTTCCCATCCTACTGTAGGTCAAGGCAAGTCACACCGCCAGCCCCACTCAAGGGGTGAGGAAACAGGCTTGCGTAACAGGAAGAGCAGCAAACAAGTTGGGAACATGTTTAATTTATCACAACCATCCTAAGTTCTGTGGAATTCATTTAATTAGTAGTAAAGATGCAAATAAGAGAAATAACAATTGCATGTTGCAAGTCTGAAAACTGGGAAAACAAGAGCCTGGTGTCATTTAAAAATCTCTAACAAGATTCACTCAGAAACCATGACCTCGTGATAGCTGAAATGAAACCACAAAAATATTTCTGTTTTCCATTTTACTTATACTTACTGACATCTGTCGCCATCTAATCTTCATCTACTGAAGATAGGTCTTTTTGGACAGCTACCAGGTTTATAATTTATTGTCAGGGGAATCATGTCAGAATATGTTCAGTGGCTCATAATATTTAATGAAGCAGTGACTCGGAGCCCAAAGTAAAACTACTCAGGGGAAAAAAAAGAAGTCTTCTATTTAAATATTAACTCTGATAATTGTTTAGGCAATGAGGATACCTTTATTTTACTACTCATTTTATTTATAACTTAAACCCAAAATTGAAATGAGTTTTCAAAGGAAACAGATTATTTTTGACATTAGCAACAAGGGGCCAATGAATGCCATTCATCATTACTTTTTATTGTATTTTAGATATTTTTCAGTTCATCACTTTACTTGTTGGTCTTCTCCATTGTCTAATATGTACTCTCTCAGACAAGGGACATGTCTTATTTGAATTTTAATTCCCAATGTCTCACACAGTGCTCAATTCATGCTCCTTAATAGTAGAACAATAGATACAGGTGGCTCAGTGTTAATGGAGGTGGCCTGAGCATGAGAGTCCTGGGAGCTAGTTCTAATAATAGTAGCAGCTGACATGGATTGAGCACTTAACATGTGCCAGGAGTCTTGCGGGCACTTTACACATACATCCCACCCAACCTTCCAGATGAGTATTTCAGTTCTTCCACTTCACATACGAGCAAACCAAGGGAGAGGAGCTTGTGCCATATGTCTGGGGTCACAGATCCAGTATGTGTGAATTACAGCCCAGATCCAAACCAAACCATCAACCACTAGGTTTCACTCCTTTTTCAAGCTGGTCAAAACTAATAACTCAGTTTCTCCTTGCCTCAGTGATCTTCTTTTTCTTTTTCTTTTTCTTTTTTTTTTCTTTTTTTTTTTTTTTTTTTTTTGAGGCAGGGTCTCATTCTGTCACCCAGACTAGAGTGCAGCAGTGCGATCATAGCTCACTGCAGCCTTGAACTCCTGCTCAAGTGATCCTCCCACTTCAGTCTTCCAAACAGCTAGGACGGACTACAGGTGCACACCACCATGCCCGGCTAATTTTTTTTTTAAGTTTTTTTTTTTTTTTGGTAGAGACAGGGTCTTGCTATGTTGCTCAGACTGGTCTCAAACTCTTGGTCTCAAGAAATCCTTCCACCTAGGCCTCCCAAAGCATTGGGATTATAGGTATGAGCCACTGTGTCCAGCCAGTGACTTCCATTTTAATGGCAAAATTAATAACTACTTCATTCAACATGTATTCATTGAACCACCGTGTGTCTTAGGAACTATTAATATTTTAGTTTCTTAGGCCCTTAGGTTTCAGAGATGAACAAAAGTGATGTAGTTCCTGACATTATTCAGGTCACATTCTAGTCAGGGGAATGGATACAAAAAGAAGTAAAATATGTAGTGTACAAGTAGGTGATAAATATTCTAGGGGAAAAATACAAAAAGGGAAAGTGTGTGGAATGGGGTGGTGATGGGGGAATAGCAGATTGCAATTTTAGGTAGGAATTTCAGGGAAAGCGTCACTGAGAGGTGATGGTTGAGCAACAACCTGGAGAAGTTGAGGGAGCGGCCGGTGGCTATGGGGGAGGGACCTTTCAGGTAAGGGACCAGCAGGTGCACATGCCCTGAGACAGGCATGTGAACGGCTTGTTCCCAAAAAGCACTCAGGTCAGCCGGGCAGGGCAGCAAGCTAGGGGATGTTCACTGAGACTGGGAAGACGAGAGGACAGGTTGGGAGGGAAAGGTATATTTTAGAGATTTTCATTTTACGTGCTCATTGAATATCCACGGGGAGATGTTGAGGAGGCACATAGGTAGATGTAAGAGTCAGTAATGATGCCTGGAAGACATCTGGGCTGGTAAATACCCATGGAAGTCATTGGTCCCTACTGAGTGTTTAAAGCTGCAGCAGCTCAGAGAGGGAAGAGAATAACAGACTTTTGGGGAGTTGTCCATGAAGAGATGATCCATTGGGGTGGGATCCTGAGCCTTGCATGAGAAGGTCAAGAAGCAGAAATTGAGGAGGAAGACAGTGCAGGCGAAGGGACTGGCTTAGTGCAAGGACATGGAGCAAGGGGTGGTTTGGAATGATAAGGGGACAGGGAGGAGTCAGATGTGGCATTTCAGGACATGACATGGAGAGGCAAGAAAGGGAGTGGGAGGAAGTGGTGATGAGGTCAGAGAAACAGACTGGAGAGCCAGATTGCTAACGTCTTTCTGTGACATGCTAAGGAATTTAATATTTGTTCTGCAACCACATGGGAGACATTGAAGGTTTTTAAGAAGGAAAGTGACATGATCAGATGCATCATTTAGAAAAATAACTGGCAGCATCGTGAAGGTTAAATTGAAGAAGATAAAAAACTTAAGTCATATACATAATAACTTTCAACAAAGTTGAATATCCATGGGGAGATGTTGAGGAGGTACACAGGTAGACGTGTACCTACCTGTTGAAAGTTGAAAGTGATGGTCACGCGGTATGCAAGTCAAAAGCTATGGAAAGGTTGTATGCACCTTTTCCTGTCAAAAAAAAAAAATTTCCAAAGGGACCAATAGTGGCCTTTGTTTAATGTTACTTTTTCTTTTTTTATTATTATACTTTAAGTTCTGGGGTACATGTGCAGAGCGTGCAGGTTTGTTCCATAAGTATACACATGCCATGATGGCTTGCTGCACCCATCAACCTGTCATCTACATTAGGTATTTCTCCTAATGCTGTCCGTCTCCTACCCGCCCCCACCACCCTTTAGAAGTAGATTATAATTTTAGAAGGAAAGTTTTCAAGATAAGAGAGTTCTTCAAGGCAAAGATGTTAGCCATATCATATTATGCTCTATCAAAAATTAGAAGTAAAAGTAACATTAGACACTTCTCAAAAGAAGACATTTATGCAGCTGTTACTTTTTCTTATAATTTTTAATAGAGCATAATATGATATGGCTAACAACTTTGTCTTGAAGGAGTTTCTTATCTTGACAACTTTCCTTCTAAAATTATAGTCCACTTCTAAAGGTGAGTGCATTGTAAATATTCATATCTTTTACACAGGGCTGGACCCTCAGGTGTCACTGTAATTAATCATTTCATTTAATTCGTAAAGGAACTAGATTAAATCCCATTTTGATTTAACATATGAAAAAGAAAGATAGTGTCAATTCAGAAATGCCCTTGAGTTTTCTATCCTGCAATGACATTACCTACATAATGCTAATCAAATGTTAGCATTTCATTGTGGAAAACCAATGGAGCATTCTGCCCAAATACAAGCGGTAGGTGCCAGGCATCTGTATACCTTAATGTTTGTTGAAGGTAACTCTTCGTAATTAAAACATGAGTTAATTCTTGGTGTTAATAGATACTGAGTGTAAAGCCATATTTCTTGCGCATTTGTTCTGTGCCAGGCACTTTCACATGAGTTTTCATTTAATTTTTAAAACTCTGTGATACAGGTGTAATGTGACAAGTGAAAAAACTGAAGCTCAGAGAGTAAATAATGTGACTAAGAACAATCAAATATTCTCCAAAGTGATTGTTATTTCCATTTTACCTCTGCTTAACTTATGAGAAGATATACTTGATATGTGTGTAAAGCAAAATATACATAGACAGGTTGAAGGGTTATATGAATATTGTATCTCATAGAAAGTTTAAAATACTATTATAAAGATTTATTTATCTCATTAACAAATGTCAACTCTCTTTCTGTCTCATCCCTGGTCAGGATGTAGGTATAAGTTTGAAGGATCAAAAAATATATTTAAATAAAGGGATTTCTTTTGTCTGTTTGCCTTCTCAGACTTAAAAGCCTTACCAGATATTTGCCTTTATTACTCTATTTCTTTCTTTCTTTCTTTTTTTTTTGAGACAGAGTTTCGCTCTGTCACCCAGGCTGGAGTGCAGTGGCATGATCTTGGCTCACTGCAACCTCTGCCTCCCGGGTTCAAGTGATTCTCCTGCCTCAGCCTCCCGAGTAGCTGGGACTACAGGTGCGTGCCACCAACCCCAGCTAATTTTTGTATTTTTAGTAGAGACGGGGTTTCACCATGTTGGCCAGGATGGTCTTGATCTCTTGACCTCGTGATCCGCCCGCCTCAGCTTCCCAGAGTGCTGGAATTACCAGCATGAGCCACCACACCTGGCCTGTTACTCTATTTCAATCCATTAACGAGATATTTGTCGAAGTTTGATGAATAATTAAAGAAATTACAAGAAAAATCAAAGTTAGCTTTTATATCATGTAAAAATATAAATTATTTTATTTTTCCCACATATAAGTAAACTGATTTCTAGTATTATTTTCTTATCAATGGACTCAATAAATATGATTCATTACATAAATATTTATTGAGCACCCACTATCTGCCAGGCATTGATCTGAGAGCTGATTAGGGAATGGTAAACAAAATAAACAGAAATTCCTGACTTTGGATCATAAATTCAGTTCAAGTTTGTAGTAAGTCCAACTAAAGATGTTCATCAGAATTACTCAAAGAGCAGTTTCAAGATGCAGAGAACTTCCATTCAGGATCCTAGGAGGTTTGCATGTTGTAAAAGCTTTGCTGGGAGTTGTAATTAGGAATCTGGGAATGAGAGATTTTACTAATGCAGCAGCTGCTCACATTATTTCCCCATTAAGCCTGTTCTTGCCCCTCTTTCCCTATCAAATCCCTACCCTTCGGTCAAGCATGGAAAGCAATTTGAGAAAAAATAGAGCACAGAATTCTTGCTTTGAGAATGTGTGGCTTGCTCTGCATTTTGAAAGTATTAGTAACATGTTTTCAAACTATTTTATAAGTAAAATAATGCTTATAATCTATTAGAAACATAGATGCTTAGGCCGGGTGCTGTGGCTCATGCCTGCAATACCAGCATTTTGGAAGACCAAGGCGGACCAATCACTTGAGGCCAAGAGTTCAAAACCAGCCTGGCCAACATGGAGAAACCCCATCTCTACTAAAAATACAGAAAAAAAATTAGCTGGGCATGGTGTCACGTGCCTGTAATCCCAGCTACTTGGGAGGCCAAGGCACAAGAATTGCTTGAACCCCAGAGGCAGAAGTTGCAGTGAGCCGAAATCGTGCCACGACTCCAGCCTGGACGACAGGTGAGACTCTGTCTCAAAAAATAAACACTGATATTTAAAGGAACACTGTGAAAATAGGAGTAAGGAAAAGCCCTTACAATTTGAACAGACACCCTATAGATATCACTGTCTTCCAAAATTGTACTGGATTGCCAACGTTTGCATTATTTTAAACCACCACTTAAGAAGAAAGTGTATACACACCCGTTATCTGCACTAATTGAAGATGTATTGTATATCGTTAAATAACTGCTTTTTATCATTAATTCTCATTATGGGATTCACATTCCTCATTTTTTGTTTCCTTTTGGTTTTGCAAACATCACTTCTCTCTTACGATGCAGTCAGAATCTTATTGACACTTCTTTTTTAACTCTCAGACTGATCAATTTCCCATTACTGCCACTCCATGGTGCACATTTCCTGAGCCATTATTCTGGAAAAGGATAAATCCTAATACCCATCTGTCCTTGACTCTTTCATTCCATAGAATTTTTAAATATGCAGTGTGTTTTAGTTAATGAAGTGTCTGGACAGCTGAGTCATAAATTCTGTGCAGAAGCTGATTTCTAGGTCAGAAAAATTTAAACTACGAAGTTATTAACCAGAATCAATTTGTGTATATCTTGCTTTCTTGTTACCTCAATGTTAGGAAGGAAGGAAAGAATGGCCAGGGAATATGTGATTAGTCCAAACTGGATGGATTTAATTCACTTGATAAACATAGTTAACCCTTAAATACCAACTTCATTTAACAAGGAATAATTTACAGAACACAAAGAAGTTTTATGCAAATTCTGGTGGGCCTTGTATTTTATGTTAGCCCTTCTCTAGATTTATGCAGAGCAAGATAACTTGACCTTCGTATTAACTGGCTAGCTTTACTGAAGGAAAATGATTTCTGGGGCACACCAGCCCTGTACTGGCAGTTCTTTGCAAATGGGTGCTGCGTGAGTATCAGTACTGAAATGCTCAGGAAAGACGGCTTCTCATTATGGTGCAGGTAGGGAAAACCTGGGGTCTGAGCCGTACGGTCACCAGGACCACAGACTGTTTTTCTCACTAGTTCAGAAGGCCAGATACATATTTATTTTTCTCCTCTCATTTTTGCCTTCTCTTTTAGTAAAATTTAGGTTAGGCACTATTCGTCAAAGAAAGACAAATCGTTATAGGTGGTCAAACTTTACCTTTTAACCCTTGACAACTTTGAAGTAATGATTGTAAATGAGATCTTTTGTTTTCTTTTTCTTTGGGGAGAGGGGAGACTGACTTTGTTCGGGCCACTATGCTTGGGTATAATATTTCAGATAAGCCCTACGGTGGGAGAGCAGAAGTGCTGTCCTTACCACTTAAACTCTGAAGTGCTCTTGCAAGAAGCTTGGAGGGTAGGTTGGGCACGAGTGGCTCATGCCTGTAATCCCAGCACTTTGGGAGGCCAAGGTGGGTGGATCACCTGACGTCAGGAGTTCAAGACCAGCCTGGCCAACATGGTGAAACCTGTCTCTACTAAAAATACAAAAATTAGCTAGGTGTGGTAGCACGTGCCTGTAATCACAGCTGCACAGGAGGCTGAGGCAGGAAAATCACTTGAACCCCAGAGATGGAGGCTGTAGTGAGCAGAGATCATGCCACTTCACTCCAGCCTGGGTGACAGAGCAAGACTCCATCTCAAAAAAAATGAAGTGTGAAGGGTAGCTTTGTATATTTTCTGAGCATTTGAGATTCAGGGTGCTGGAAGTCAGTTTGTGCAAGGGCAGTTTAATCACTAACCAGAATTTTCGTATTTGTTAAATAAGAGTTTCTCTTGTAAAAGACATTAAAATTTAAGTAGGGTATTCTGACCTCAAAATACTTCATTTAAGGTATTGAAGAAGTTTCCTGGCCAAATGGTGAGAAAACACTTGAGTTATAAGAAGCTGTGTGAATATTATACAATAATAATACCACGGCTTTGAATCTCAGTTAAAAGTTTAAAAAGCCTCATGGCTGTTGTTTAAGGAATAATTATTCAAAGATTGAATGTTCATTAATTGGTAACATACTTGTGCTATTACTTCGTCATATTGTAAGAATCACCCATTCAGACACACCTTTTCTTACCACTCTCTTCTGAACACCCCCTTTCATGCTACTTTGATCTGTACATACTTTCATCATTGCACTTGTAACTCAGCAGTAGAGCTTTCCATGTACTGGATGGGCCGGCTGGCAGATGATTTAGTAAATGTGTGCAGAAGGAAAAAATGGAAAAATGATGAATGGAGAGATGTAAAAGCACTTGGAAGAAAGTACATGAAAGGCTAAAATAATAAAATGGAAAAAAACATTCAGGACCTATGGTGAATGAATGCTCTAGGCTGTCTCCAGTGATACATATTATTGTAATCAAATGTAGTTTTGCAATTTATTTAGAAGTCTCTTTGACAGCTTGTGTTGCTTCCATCATTCAAGCAACTCTCCGAATACCATTTTCATCTGAGGACTTGTTCTTCTCACCAATGTTAAGTTTAGCCTAAAGCTGCCTCCTCACGTATTTGAAGTTTGGCCTACAGGTTTCTCCACTTAGATTATAGTGAACTGTAACCTAACAGGATGTGTAAACAGATTGTAACCTAGTCTTGCGTTAATCACAGAGTTTCAGCCAATCAAAGGCGGCCAACTGTTCAATCTTGTTCAAATAAGGCAGATGCTAAACTGTAACCAGTCCAGCTGTTTCTGAACCTCACTTCCATTTTCTGTGCCTCACTTTCCTTTTTCTGTCCATAAATTCTCTCTTACAATGTAGCATCATAGTCTCTATGTTTTCTGGTTGGTAGGGCTGCCCAATTTGCAAATCATTCTTTGCTCAATTAAACTTTGTTCAATTTAATTTGTCTAAAGTTTTTCTTTTAACACCAGTTATCTCCTGATGTATCCTTTCATTGTATCCTTAAGAAAGGAGAAAAGGAGTCCAGGTGAGGTGGCTCATGCCTGTAATCCCAGCACTTTGGGAGGCCAAGGTGGGTGGATCACCTGAGCTCCAGAGTTTGAGACCAGTCTAGCCAACATGGTGAAACTCCGTCTCTACTAAAAATAAAAAATAAAAAATAAGTTAGCCAGGTGTGTTGGCGAGTGCCTGTAATTCCAGCTACTCAGGAGGCTGAGGCAGGAGAATTGCTTGAACCCGGGAGGCAGAGGTTGCAGTGAGCCGACATCGCGCCACTACACTCCAGCCTGGATGACAAGAGTGAAACTTCATCTCAAAAAAAAAAAAAAAAAGGAGAAAAGGACTTCTTTGGGATTTCTGCTAATATGAAGATATATGAAATAACTTGATTACCCCTTCAAGGATATTCATTGAAGCGCTATTCATTGTTGATTTCTATATGCATCCTTTTTGTTATTCTAGGGGAAAATACGAGCAAAATTTCTGAGATAGGTGGCAACCACCCAGGACATTTCTATAATTTAGTTTTTGCAAAGTAAATCTCTAATTTACATCAGTCTTCTCCAACTGACTTATACTGATAAGAACAAATGCCCATTGGGCACCTAAATAAAATTTATATTATTGGGATGCTTTTTATTAAGATGCTTTTACTTATGATTTTTTAGATACTGGACCTCTAGGCTAACTGCTAATTTATGTAAGTAGCTAGTGAAACTCCAGAGAAACAAAAAATGATCAGTTTAGAACAAAGAGCATAGGCACTCAGTCAGACAGATGGGGATTCTCATCTCAGATCCACCAAGTTATTCAAGGAGCCTCAATTTTCTCATCTACAAAACAAGAACAACAATAGGATCTACCTGATAAGATTCGTGGTGAATAAATGATTCAGGTAAAGTGCATAATATTGGGTATAATACAAACTAAGCATTTAAAAAATAGAAACTATAATAATATTAACATTATTTTAAAGGCATGTGAGAAGACACAAAATGGAATAAGACTGCTGAAGAGCTCATCAGGACTACATACGGGATAGGGAATGTGAAGCTGTGAAGTTGCCCCAACAAAAGCTCCTTTGTAGTTCTGTGGCTCAAGGAATGCATAAGTTTATGTATTGTTTGCTTAATGCTCTTCAACAAGTGTTCCAGGACAGTGAGTTCATCTTCTTGGGGTCATTTTCAATGTCACTCTAATTAGTATCATTGCAGCATATGCAAAAGGCAAAAGAATATGGAGGAGCAAATGTGGGGGATTTGTGGTCAGACATGGAAGCAGCGCCCATCAGGTCCACTCCTGACCTGATTGCACTAGGGAAAACATCGTCAGAGAGCTATTCATAATTGCAAGGGATGCTGGGAAAAAGACTGTAGTTAGGCAGCCATATGTCCAGCCATTGTTCTATTTCTGTCAGAGAAGAGAAGGATTTTTTTCTTGAGTCCTCTAAGAGAGATTGCCAGAGCACACACAGGTTGTAAGGAAATTGCCTGCTTTTTGAGTATATGAGCCAACTATAGTTTCTAGTTTTGATTTTTTTCTCTTATTAAATTAGTGAGTGGAAATAAATAGCTTGCAATATGGTTTCCAGTTCTCAATGTTATAGAATTACATAATATTAGCTTGTTAGCAAAATACCACCTTGAATAAATATCTTCCCCAATTGAAAAATTATAGGATACAAAAATAGAGGATAAGTACCATGTGGATTTACCTTTTGTTTTTCATTTGCAAATGTGAATAATGTTGTCAGGTTGTGACAAACGACTGTCATATTTATTCATTCAAACATTTAAAAAACAGATAGAATAGTTTAATAAAGCTAATTTTTCTAATATGGAAAATTCTGAAATTACTCTGAAATGTGATAATAATTTTATTTTTGACCTTTTTTTCACTAGGCTTAAACTATAATAGGGTTCAAACATCAGAAGTCAAACAGGAAAGAAGAATTAGGGTCAGGGTTTAAAGGGTTAACCTTTCATACCTTGATAAAGAAAATGTGAAGCTTCAAGATATATATCATTTTTATTGATACTTACATAGAAGAAGATAGGCAATTTTTTTAAATTTCTCTCTGGGGAAGCACAATATTTGTTTGAAAGAACTATTTGGGTAATCTGCCTCAGGTAGAGGGCAAGACTGCAAAGACATAAACTACTATGCATGAGATTAAAATAATTCATATGCTTTCTGAAATCTATTATAGCGAGCACAAAAATCCCTATCAAAGAGATAAGTACTTAGAATGACTTCAGGTCAAACGTATAGATAGGTCATTATAACTTTCTGAAGGCAAGAATTATGTCTATGTTGTTCAGAAGGGTACAACCCCATGATCTAGAGGGATACCTAATATTAATAATGTATAAGTCCATTCTCACACTGCTATAAAGAACTACCCAAGACTTGGTAATTTATGAAGAAAAGAGGCTTAATTGACTCACAGTTCCACAGGCTCTACAGGAAGCATTGCTGAAAGGCCTCAGGAAACTTACAATCATGGCAGAAGGTGAAGGGGAAGCCGGTATGTATTCACATGGCCAGCATGAGAAAGAGAGAGTGATAAGGGGGAATCGCCACACACTTTATGAGCATCAGATCTCATGAGAACTTACTCACTATTACAAGAACAGGAAGGGAGAAATCCACCCCCATGATTCAATCACCTCCCACCAGGTCCCTTCCCCAACATTGGGAATTACAATTCAACATGAGATTTGGGTGGAGACAGAGAGCCAAACCATATCAGATAGTAAGTCATATTTTGTTGACTGACCGAATGCAGAAGTCTTAGCATGAGAGTGGCCTTGGCTGAATCCTGGGTTATATCAGCAAGCAGTATATTGGGAAGCTGTTATTTAGCAAATGACCATAGTTGATACACAGACAACAGTGGATATTTCCTAAGAGAATTTTTTAAAGATATTTTTCTACAGAGTAAGAAAAGTAATTCAATACAAGTAAACAGTATATTCTGTTGATTCTTCCAACATCGTCAATCATGTGTGACAGAGCTCATTTCCGTTTGATTGTAGAAGTCTCGGATGGTAGGTTAGAGGCTTTGCTATGTTCATTCATTTAGTTGTTTTTTAATATTTACTTATGCCAAACATTGTGCTTAGCATTGTGATTATAGTTACAAGCAAGAGGAACAAGGATCCTGCCCTAAGGGAGCTTATACTTTAAGGCAGATACAATCACCAGCTTTTAAGTATGTGCAGACTATTTAACAGAGACTTATATGCAAACGTGTTTCAATTGCAGTATCTGGGTCAGAGGAAATGTATCTTATGACCACAATTATAAAGTATAAATATTTGTGTTCCACATGAACAAATAATCTGGAACCTAAACATCATTTGCATGTTGACCCACCAATCATTTAATGAGATTTGTTATCAGTGCTAGCTTTATTTTAACCTGCATGTTTTTGTTGGGTGGTGGTGGTGGTTGTTTCCATAGACATTTAGGCAGATCTTCTAAAATGGTAGTTCACTGAAGGCAGTACCATCCTTCCAGGAGGCATTTGCAAAGTTATCAGAATATTTTTGGTTCTCCCAATGACTGGGGACACTGGGCAGAGGCCAAGATTCCTGGATACTCTACAGTAAACAAGACAGCTCAGTCATGCAGAGGATTCTTCTATGCAGAATGTCTTCAGTTCCACATTGGGAAGGTCTGGGAGATATCAAGTCATTTTACTCCCTGTCAGTGTTCTGAAGGTCCTGCTTTAGAGGGCATATGAAAAGGCAGTCCACTCACACTATGGGGCTCAGGACCCAAAGAACCCTACCAGAATCTGTGGGGACTAGTGCTGTGTTTATAGTGGAGCTGTGACCCTTGGGTTACCCCTACCTAACCAACAGCAAGGAAGAAAAAATTTCAAATTCATGAGTTACGGTCTAGTCCTCTAGAGGCTAAAGGAGGCACAGGGTAGGATGGAAGATTTTCTTCCATAATTTGTCTTATTGTGGGAAAAAAAATGAGCAATCTAATTCTCATGTTAAGATCATTAATTAATTTAAAAAATACTGACCCAAGGCTATCCTATCTTGTCTTAAAAGAATTAGGCATTGGATTAAGGGACTTTCCTGTTTCATCAAAGCTTACAAGAGCTTTCCTATTTTACTGAGGTAGAATCCTTTTTAATTCTAATGAGGTTTATCCTTTCTTTGTTCTCTTAAAACTGAATCCAAACCATACCCTTACCAATGCTTCTATTACCCAGGTTAAAGATTCCAGAGGACTCCACCCTCCTGTTTTTTAAAAGGATTCTGTCCAAAACCATCAGGGATGTTGTGATCAACATTCTGAAAGGTTTTATTTACCTTCAGTATGTCAGGCAGCCCCCAGCTGAGTTCTGTAAATCATTGAGTTTCATTTAAATAACACAATAAAACCTCACTTATCAGGAAGTGAGTTAACTGTAAACCTCAAATATCTAGGGCATAGTAAAAGCAATAAAGTTCCTGATTTTTATGCCGATAATGGAAAACCTTCAGACTATCCTCAAAGTCCATTTATTCCTAATTGACATACAATTCTAAGAAACTTGGTTATCTGCTTTTCTAGCTCACAACAGAAAATGAACAGCCAGAGATTTATTTAGTTCAGATTGACCACAAAAGGAGACTGCCTATAACCTAGCAAGGAAAGGGTACAGAAAAAGGGTATGAAACATTAATTTAAAAATAATTAAGAAGCTTCCAAGCCAGGAGGGTCGGAGACCAGGTGGTTGTGTTCAGAGAAGCCAGCACAATGGGTAGTTTCTGAAGCACTGTTGGTTCCCAGCTCTTGCTGGGATCTTGTAGTCACTGGTGATCACCATAACCATACTGGAGCAAGCCAGAGTGGTTTGCAGCACATTTTACAAGCTTCCTCTCAAATTTGGGAATGTTGGAAAGTAGTGTTAATTATAAGACTAAGCTATGGTTGTCTTAGAAGATGTATTTTGTTCATCTTCATATTCCCCACAGCATCTTGCTACAGGGAATACAAAGAAAAAAATCACTTTTTTTAGAATATCGTATTCCCTAATAAAACTATATAGATGAGGCAGTTGTATGTAGAACTCATTCCAGAAATCCACCTTTGAAAGTGAGAACTTTTCAAAGCAAAAAACAACAAATTCTCTAGTTTCCTAAGCTTCCCCAGCAAATGATAGATGTCATTCTGACCTACAGATTTCTTGGTACTGTATGTATTATGGCAAAGCCCGCAATTACATTTGCACCAGCCTAATAATTCACTTGATTTTCTCATGTGCATTTGGATCCATAATGACTCAATCTCACTATAACGTACAGAGTCAGGCTGGTTCATTGACTTCTCAACACTCATTACAGTGATGAAGGGAGCTTCTCCTAGTCAGTCTGTACTATGATGAATAAAGAGGACTTAAGAATTTGACTGAAACTCAATGCTACCAAAATGAAACATATCTGTTCCATAATAACTAAAGCTTGCATAACAGATCATTATCTCTTTATTAACCCTTAGGTTAATATAATTGTATTCTTATTTGTGGATTAGAATTCTACCTACCAATTTATTTCAGGGAGATGTTAATAGATGTTGATAACATAACATGCATAGCCCTAAAATGTTTGTGTGTGCTGGACCACTATAATTCTAATACCCAATGTCTAATAAGGAGGAAAAATATAGTCATTGCTGAAATAATGATAAACAATGAAGGTTCTCCAAAAGAATGAAGCACGTGCTATAAGTGCAAAAACTGGTGGAGAGTAATGGCTGACCTGTTTTCTATGTGAAGTTTTGATTATAGAACCATCGAGTTCTATAACTAAATTTTGATGCCCAGAGTTGACAGCATAGGTAAACTGTTCACTTTTCTCAGTGCTGCCTCTTCTCATATTATTCATTTCTGAGATGTTTAATATAATATTTTCACATAATTTTGCATAATGCTTTGCATAATAATTTTGCACAGAGGTATATTTTAGACTGTTTTTATTTAATTTATCAGGGAATTCTGAGGTGTATGCAATTGTTTGAGTTTTTAAGCATTAGACAAGTGACTCGTGATCACTGAAGAGTTTTATCCATACTCTATTTAGTGGAATTTAAAATAGACCACGTATCCTGCTGTAGCCTCAAATTTTTCACTTGACAATAAAATTACCATTTTTCTCTCACATGACATTGTGAATATGATTTGTAAAGGACTTTGAGAATTTCAAGACAAATGTATGAAAGGTTTTTAAAAAACTGTTATTACAATTTATATCCTTCATCCGTGAAATAGTTTCAAATTAATATTTATCCCAAACTTCATTTAGTTGTTAATTCAAGGAGTGAGATACTGAAAGATCAACTGTTTACATTTCTTATCCTGTTTTATTAATGAATGTGTATTACATCTCCATTCCGTATATACAACCTATTTTGAAGGAACTGTAGAAAAGACATCCTCTCACGCCTGTAATCCCAGCACTTTAGGAGGCCCAGTGCTGGGCACATCACGAGGTCAGGAGATCGAGACCATCCTGGCTAACATGGTGAAACCCCGTCTCTACTAAAAATACAAAAAATTAGCCAGGCGTGGTGGCGAGCCCCTGTAGTCCCAGGTACTCGGGAGGCTGAGGCAGGAGAATGGCGTGAACCCGGGAGGTGGAGCTTGCAGTGAGCCGAGATCGCGCCACTGCACGCCAGCCTGGGTCACAGAGTGAGACTCCGTCTCAGAAAAAAAAAAAAAAGAAAAGACATCCTCATTAAGAATGTCTGAATCGTATATTTTTTATGTACTTGCCAGTGGCTATGTGAAGTAGAAGTTCAATAAAAGCCATCCAGTTTAATCCTGTGCCTTCCTCACTTTAATGCTCAATAAACATTTGGTAAATGAACGTTGAATGTTAATGCATTCTGTTTGCCCATCTCCTGAAAGAGACAAAAGAAAGTAGGTATCTTAATGAAGCAGCAGTGGCTTAAGCACGTAATCCTGGTGGTATGAAGATGTTTAAAGACAAGTCACTCTTCCTGAGTCACTCTAGGTTAGACACAGTCAGTCAATTGGAAACACCCTATGTGTGGTTATTTCATATAATTAAGTAATTCCCAGCACTGCCAAAGAAAACAATGCTAGATCTTGGTGTTTGCTGTATAACAACAACAGATATTGGTTTATAACACTAAATACCTTATACAACTCTCCTGCACTTAGCATGGATACCTAAAACTGCCCATTGAGGCTGAGGGTAGGGAAAAGCTTGTCTTGATGTAATAAGATACTTTCAAAGAATTATAGCTCCTGAAACTTTAAATAAATGTCTCAAAATATTAGTTAGGATAGAGCCTTTTACATCTAGTATTTTAAATACCTGTGTACTAAGTGGTGGGCAGAAGATGTATTTTTGTTCATCTTCGTATTTCCCACAGCATCTTACTTGGTGCTTGCATGTAGCAGGTCTTCATTAGTGCAAGTTGAATGAGTCAGTGAATGTTAGGCTACGTGTATCCCTTCCCCACCCCAACAAACAAGGTGCTATGTAATCATTGTAATGATATTGTACAAGCAGCAGCACATTTACATGAAAATGGTTGGCAATTGCTTATTGGAATATGAAGATATTAATAGCATAGGTGTAAATGATTCCAAATGTATCCAACATTTTGGGAGTTTTCTTCATGCTTTATAATTTTTGAGCTAACTGAAATTATTAAATGCTTGAATGCTCACAGTTTTAAAAAAATTGGCTTGTTTATCAAAAGCAGTTCTGCTTCAAATCGCCTGGACTATTAAAAGCAATTTTTCAAAGGAAAGGTTATTTTTTATTTTATAGTTCTAAGATATTTTTCCCCCTTAGAAAAACTCTTTGTTGACAGAGTCTACTGTGTTTTTTGGTAAATTATTGCAGCTATTGATGAATTTCAGAAGCGCGCAAGTTGGTCTCATAGATATTCATGTAGTAGAGCTTGGACTGTCACAGAAATGTAAGTGAGACAGGGGTGCGATTTCTAATCCTCATGCATCTGGTTGTCTGAGGCCTCCTGCCAGGAAATGTGAAGCCTAAGGCTTCTTTTGTAAGAAGTAAGAGAATCAGCAGTATAGGTTGTCTTATAATCAGGTACTTGATGTTTAAATTTGTAGATATTTCCACAGTGTTGGAAGTCAAGCATTCAGGTTTATTAAATGGCTCCATACCTAAAGCAAAAAAGCAGGCATGAAAACCAATCAGAACTTGAGCATTTTCCCCCCTGAGCTTTATGGGTTTTTTTTTTTGTTTTTTTTTTTTGTTTTTTTTTTTTTTAGAGAGAGGCTTATCCTGAATGTCTGCATGCTTTAGCAGAGATGAAACTCATATTTGAATATATATGTATATACACACCTTTGGCTGAATTTTATCTCAATAGGAAACACATTATTTTGAAAAAAAAAAAAGCTACTGTATTATCTGTTAAATTTTACCTAGGATTTTATTTTATATTAATTTATCAAAATGGAAGTGAGGATGAATATAAGTACCCTAAACTTTTAAAAGCCGCAGCAAAGGAAATCACAGCCTTTTTGGCCAAATAAATCTTGGCCATATAACCACAAAACAAAAGAGGCTGGAGAATTAAACTGCAGTATTATCCAGCCTTATCACTCCAATAAAACAGCAGTATGTCTTTTTAGAAATCCAAATTTGTTCTTAAGTCTGTGTATAAAAAAAGCAAAAATAGTCATTTGCTTTTTAAAATTTGTTTTGAAATGAACTGTAAAATTAAGAGATTTTGAAATTAAAAAACAGATGTGGTCATGCCAAGTTTTGCCCATTTTTACACGGCCAGAAAGGGACCAAGCAAACAAGTTCCAGCCCCTGCTTTCTCTCTACTGGAATAAAATTTTGAGTGCTTATTTAATTAAGGAGTAAGGTCATTATTTTTTACAGCACCTAGAGAAGCTTCGCTGAATCATCTGGAATCCACTTCCAAGATGTCATGTCTTTTGATGTATCAAATACTTTTCTTTATTTTTGTTATTTTTATTTATTTATTTTTTTTGAGATGGAGTCTCGCTCCATCGCCTAGGCTGGAGTGCAGTGGCGCGATCTAGACTCACTGCAAGCTCTGCCTCCCGGGTTCACACCATTCTCCTGCCTCAGCCTCCCGAGTAGCTGGGACTACAGGCACCCGCCACCACACCCGGCTAATTTTTTGTATTTTTTTTTTTTTTTCAGTAGAAACGGGGTTTCACCGTGTTAGCCAGGATGGTCTCGATCTCCTGACCTCGTGATCCGCCCACCTCGGCCCCCCAAAGTGCTAGGATTACAGGCGTGAGCCACCGTGCCCGGCCAATACTTTTCTTTAAAGTAATTTTATAATTATTTTTCTCTCGAGAATTTGTCTCCGCAGTGGGTTCTCCACTCTTGATTTAGAACAATATTTCTAAAATACTGTGCATTATATCATCCCATGTTAAAAATCATCTCTGAAATCCTTACTTTGCCTGAAAAAAAAATATGTAGTTTATTGTAGCACGGCAGTCAAGAGCCTCTTTGATCGTCCACTAACCTGTCTTTTCACCTGATGACCAACCTTGCCTGTTCGTCTACCTTTTTGCGTGGTCTTCTTTTCTTATCTATTGCTGAACACACTGGGCCTTTTCCCACCTACACACCTTTCCTTACACTAGTCCCTCTCCCCTCATGAGCTCCTCTTCTCTTTTTTTTACTTTCATATTTTCAAGATATTTTATCTGGCTCTGAGCTCCAGGTCGATTCACTTTTTCTTTCCTTTGAGTTCTTTAAAGGGGCCGCTCTGCTCATGTGTGGTTTGCATTGTCTCTGACCAGAATTCGGCTGTTATTGTTACCTTGATGCCTCTGTTCATAATTTGCATTTTTTCTCTGACCGCTTTGAAGATTGTATTTTTATCCCTGGCTTTAAGCAGTTTCATGATGATGGTCCTTGGTGTCGTTTTCCTCATGTTTCTTGTGCTTGGCATTTGCCAAGCTTCTTGAATCTATGCGCTTGTCGTTTCCATCAGATTTGGAGATTTTTCAGATGTTTGTTTGTCTTCAGATATCTTATCTGTTTTCCTCTCCCCTCGCCCAAACCACTAATATGTCTGAGATTCCAATTATCTTTTTATTTAGCAATCTGATATTGTCCCACTGCTCACTTTTTTTTAATGCTTTTTCATTTCTTTCTGGTCTTTTTTCTCCCTGGTTTCTTTGCGATGTTTAATATCTCTATATATCCCTATTAATCTTTTCTTCAGCAGTTTCAAAATATGCTATTAATCCAAGATAGTGTGTATTTTATTTCAGACATTGCATATTTTATCTCTCGACGTTTGATGTGGTTCTTTTTATGCCTTATATGATTTTCCTTATCATGTTTGTGCTTTACCTTCTTCAACATAGAGAGAGATTGTGTGTGTGTATAAGCTCTTTTAATGCCCTCATCTACAAATGATATCGTCTATGTCATGTCTGATTTGTACTGATTGATTCTTTTTCTCTTTATGTGTTGCATGTTTCTGCTTTGTTTACATGTCTAAGGATTCTTTTATTTGATACCAGATATTTTGAGTTGCTGGGGACATCACTGGGTCGTAGACTTTCTGTATTCCCCTAAAATGTTTTATCGTTGTTTGGGGATGCATCCAAATTGGAAACAGTTCAGTCTTTTCTAGGCCTGCTTTTTAACTGTGTTAGGAGGAACCAAAAAGTGCCTACTCTGGCACTACCACTGAGGCAATATGCTTCGGAGTGCTCGGCCAGATGCCTCATGCGCTAGGGGGCCTTTTCACTCTGGCTGGTGGAAATGTGAACTGCATCTGGCCTGGGTGCTCTGCAGATTGCTCCTGCAGCTTCTTCCCAGTGGTCCTGTCCCTGGACGCAGGTGGATTTCTCACACGCTCACATTGATCAGTTGCACCGGACAGATGTCTGGAATTTCCTCGCTTTGCCACTTTCTTGTCTTTGGTAGTCTGCCCTGCTGACTCTAGCCCCCTTAGCCTCCTGGAATTCCCAATTCAGTCTCTCCAATTCAGCAAGAACCTGAGCTCTGTTTGAACGTCCCTTCCCTGCACTGCAGCCTGGAAGCTCTCTCCCGGGAGTAGACTGGAATGATCCTCGGGTTCACTTTGCTTGGTTCCCTTTTCTTGGAGATCACTGTCATGCATTGCCTGTTGCCCAGGGTCTGAAAACCATTGTTTCAGCTATTTTATCCAGTTTTGTAGTTGAGGCAATAGGGTAAATCCAGTTCTTTTAACTCTATCATGACCAGAGCAGAAATCTAGCTTACCCTTTTCATCTCCTTTAATACTAGTTCAATAATCACATCCCTAACCAAAGTTTGTGAATCCCTCTTCTTCCCGAGAGAATTGATTGTGACTTCATCTGCAGTTTTGCGGTTTTTTACTTTCTCTAGCATCATTATATAACATCTGTGTTCTATGTTAAGAGGTTTACAAGTTGCTTCTCAATAAATCATGAATTTCTTGAGAGAAGATTTTATGACACATACTTTTTGAAATCCCCGGTTGCATAGAACAAAGTGTGTGGTACATAAATGATCCTTAATAAAGGTCAGTTTAATGAATAGATTAAGTGCTCCAAGGGTATTTATAACATGTTCACATTAATTAATGTGTGATCATTGGGCCTGTGTTTAACATTGCAGATAAATACATCTGCCTATATTTGCTTTCACTCTGCTTTCTCCCCTGTAGTTTTCTGTATAATTTTACCAGTGGCAAGAATGAGGAAATAATAAGAATGTTCATTAAATTTGTAGATGATACCAAAATCCAAAAGGAATCATAATCTCAAAATATAAGATTAGAGCTAATTATGTCCTTGACAAGTAGGATGATCACAAAGAAAGCAAGTAAAATTAAATGAAACTACAAGGTATTTAATTTTAAAAGGAAACTAAGCCACATGTCATCATAAAAATGGCTGGATTCAAATAAGACTGTAGGAGCCACAGTGAATCACAAGTTAAAAATGAGTTGAAAATGAAATTTCCTGTTGTTATAAGATGCTGTGTAAGAATGGCAGAGTATAATTGTCCTTTTATAGTCATAATTGTAAAACTATTATAAAATTCTGTGGCATTTTTGAGGTCCATTTTTATTTTAAGAGCACCAGAATATATAGGGTTTTAAGAAGAACGCTATTAAAATGCTGCAAATGGAACCCATGAGGAAATCTTATTCCCTTTTTCCCTTTTGCTTTTTTTGTTTTTCTGGAAGAACAAGGTGCATATACAGAAAACTGTCATGTTTTAACAAAGAAAACATTCAAACCAAAAAGAACAACCATTGCCTTAAATTGAAACAAAAGCCTTGGTATTGGGAGTTCATAAATGAAAAACATGGCAAATGGTTATTAACATTCACTAGATTTTCAATGCATGCTTTACTAACTGCTTTTAAGGCATGCAAAGAATACCTAGCATGCAAATAGCTCCTTTGACTTTTCAATGTCTCATGAATATATAATATCATTTAAACTTCATAGCTATTCTGTGAAATACTATTTCCATTGCACAGATGATAAAATTGAGTAGTCCCAGAGAAAGGAACTTTCTTTCAAGTCAGGTAGTTAATTAACAACATCACTTAAATATAGAGCGCTCTACAATACTATGTAGAACAAATAGTAATCCCAAATGCATGAATATAGGCCAAAGTACTTTGAAAGCATCAAAGTGCTATGAAATGGGAGGCAGTAAATATTATTGTCTGTAATCTGGAGATCTGCCCCCACCCCCGAAAAAGTGCTGCCATGAACTCCCATGAATCATTTCAATATTCAAGAAAAAAGGACTCATTAATTATTTTTCACATTCGGGCACTGGGAATATAAAAGACAAACAATTTAAGACCTTTTCTCTCGGTGGAGCTTTTATCTCATTAAGTCCTTGGGGGCTGGCTGGACATGGTGACTCATCCCTGTAATCCCAGAACTTTGGGAGGCCTAAGAAGGAGGATCACTTGAGGCCAGGAGTTTGACACAAGCCTGGGCAACATAGCAAGACCCCCATCTCTTAAAAAAAAATTAGTCAGGCATGGTGTGGACATGCCTGTAGTCCCAGCTGCTCAGGAGCTGAGGTGGGAGGATGGCTTGAGCCCAGCAGTTTGAGGTTGCAGTGAGCTATGATTGCACCACTGCCCTCCAGCGACAGAGTGAGATCCTATCTCCAAAAAAAAAAAAAAATCCTCAGGGGCTAAAGTGGACATTAATATGATAAGCTGATGATACTTCCAACTTTTACCCCATTGTGCCAGAGTTAGTAATTTGTCCTACTGTGCCACCTTCATTAATGTGGTTATCTTATGTTGATCTGTATATCTCTTTAAGAATTCTAAGTTGACAAACAGGGTCCTTGGAAGTGGATGTTGAAAATTTGGCCAAAAAGGGGAATATTGACACTAGTTCGAAGAATTATCCTTGGCATGAGGAAGGGTCTTCTCTTCCATCAGAACAGAAGGAAAAGAGGAAAGAATTAGCATAGAAGCTGCATGGTGAGTGCATATTGAGCAAGTTCCCATCCGAATTGTTCTGCTGTCTCAGTGAATACTATGGGGCAGATCAGCTGCTCTGAGTGTGTGTATTGGGCATGAGACTTGGGTATGGGCAAGGGGGTGAAGTGGAATAGGGGTTTGAGGAAACCCAAAGAGGTTTTAAATAGCTGCTGTACAAATCCCACTTCTCTGAATCACTTTATCTCCTTTCCCAGTGTGCCTACAGATGCCTGCTGCTGTTGTCCATAACAGAAAACAATTATGTTAACAGGCAAATCTCCAACTATGGGAAAATGAGCTGATAAATTCAGCTACATTAACTCAATAAATCATTTTGGCAAGAAGAGGCTATTCTCTAGCCACGTCTCATGAGATTTATCTCTGGGCTTGACAAATTCTGAACAGGTGAAGACATCTTCCACATAGTTACTATTCAAGAGAGTACTGTTCAGTGAGCCAGAAATTGCCTTTTGTTGGTGAACAAGTGTGATCCTGTGAAGGAATTTAGTCACGCAGTTGACTGGCCTCCACTGAGGTGAAATACCATGATTCTAGAAAGGCTTTGCCTTTTTCCATCATCTACATTTCAGAATATTCCAGAAAAGAAAATTCCTTGGGCCATCTGGAATCACAGACTTACAACAGTGTGAAAATGAAAGGAGCCTCAGGGGTTATTAGTAATTCCTAATTTTAGAGATGAGGTGATGGGACCGGTCACAGGGTGCCTTAACCAGATTGTTTGAGATGGCACTAGGGGTGCCACAGTTGGGCCACCCAGTCTTTTTGCAGTAAGGGTTGATCTTGCATGACAGAAGCAGCAAACTACTTTGCAGATCTCTTCGTTCAGGCAACCTAGGGATCTATCTCTGTCCTCCCTGATGCTCCATTGCCTCATAGCAAACGCTGGGGTCCTTGGCCATTGGTCCTGGTGCCTTGCCTGCTACTTACGCACTCACCACTAGGGAAGTAAGTCCTGTTCAGGGTCAGGCCCGGTTAATGCTTTATTATTTTCTAGTTATGACATTTGTGATGCTAATTGTTTATAGCAACAGACAAGAAACCTATGCAGACTTTATTTTGACAGTCTGTGACATTTGACAGAAATCAACTGAATACACATTTTTAGGACGAAAATCCAACTGGTTGAATTTCTTGATGTTGCTGGTTTCAGATTGGTATTAAAAATCGAAACCTACTTATTTCCTTACACACAAAAAATGGCTTTGTAGGGAAAGAGCCCAACTTCTTTCTTTTAACTGCTGTATTTGATGTAAGAATGTATGGATACGTTAAAAAGGGCCTCAAGCAGTCAGTATATTCAGCAAGCATTCATGTGGCCAAACTGGGGGGAAAAATCAAATTGGCAATGAACTAAGTTTAATAAAATGAATGAGTATTTTCTTTTTTATCTTTTTTTTTTTTTTTGAGATGGAGTTTCGCTCTTGTTGCCCAGGCTGGAGTGCAATGGTGTAATCTTGGCTCACTGCAACCTCCACCTTCTGGGTTCAAGCAATTCTCCGGTCTCAGCCTCCCGAGTAGCTGGGATTACAGGTGCACACCACCACACCAGGCTAATTTTTGTATTTTTTAGTAGAGTGTTTCACCATGTTGGCCAGGCTGGTCCTGAACTCCTGACATCAGGTGATCCACCCGCCTTGGTCTCCCAAAGTGCTGGGATTACAGGCATGAGACACCGCGCCCGGCCATGCATGAGTATTTTCTTAATAAAAATAAGTGCCAGATCTGGGAGAGATAAGAAAGAAGAAATGGCATGTCTAAATAACTGAAGCCCCGAGGGCTTATTATCAAATGTAGGATTACCATACATGGATATGATGCCATGTGGGGAGAATAAAATGGAGGGAAAACAAGAAGAAAAGCAGTCCATGCATCACAGTGCATTGTCACCAAGACTTGTTGGAATCTAAGATAGATAACAAGAGTCCTTTAAGCTGAATAAATATATTTATAGTAAATAAATACAAGGAGAGGATCAAGAAAAACAACTAATAGATATCAGGCTTAATACCTGCATGATGAAATAATCTATACAACAAACCCCCATGACACAAGTTAACCTATGTAACAAACCTGCACTTATATCCCTGAACTTAAAATAAAAGCCCCCCAAAAAGGAATAAATTAGATGTTATCTGGCCATTCAAAGCTTTTGTGGATACAAAATACAAACGAAGTTCACAGGATATCTGTCTATAGATAGACATAAATATAGATAGATATAGATGATAGATATGGATATAGATATATAGATATAGATATAGATATAGATATAGATATAGATATAGATATAATTTTTCTTTGAGACAGAATCTTGCTCTGTCACCCAGGCTGGAGTGCAGTGGTGCGATCTGGGCTCACTGCCACCTTCATCTCGTGGGTTCTAATGATTCTCCTGTCTCAGCCTCCTGAGTAGCTGGGAATACAGGCACACGCCACCATGCCTGGCTAATTTTTGTATTTTTAGTAGAGACAGGGTTTCGCCATTTTGGCCAGGCTGGTCTCGAACTCCTGACCTCAGTCGATCCACCCGCCTCAGCCTCCCAAAGTGCTGGGATTACAGGCATGAACCACCATGCTTGGCCTCACCATATATATATTAAATAATCTGGCAAAAATAGTAAATGTAGACAGAAAGGATATTTGCTTGCTAATTATATTTTTTCTCAATTAGTTTCACCTCTTCCCCAATTGAATTTTGTACTTTTTTTCCTGATAAAAGTTCAGAAAATCTTTGTCACATGGAACATGAAAACCAGGCTGGCGTGATTTTTTTTAAGTAAATGGATACTGTTTATACATGCCTAAGATAAATTAAAGTTAAATTGTTAATTAAATATTAGGGTATTAATGACATAAAATGTGTGGTCCTTAGAAATATAAACTTTCAGGCATGAGAAATTCCAATTCTGAGTCCTCCATTTTTTTGCTCCAGAGGAAAGGAGGGGATGCAATTCAAAGACAAACATCTTGGACTTGTATAAAACATCTTCCTATTCCTCTGTAAGTATAGATTTCCTATAATAAAAACAGCTTCTTGAAAGAGGAAGCAAAAGGGGACTTTGGGGGTTATGATATTCTCCTTTGATTGTAGCACACATTAATTATACTAACTTCCTAGAATCAATATGGTTAACAAATCAATTCTGCTGGTCAATTAAAATCAATGACTATAATTATATAATAAGTGAAGTATATGTAGAGCATGAATAATGATCCTAATATAAATTGTAGTTTACTTAGTATTTATTATGTGCCAGGTGATTTAGGTATATTATTTTATTTAATCTTCACAATGATCGTGCAAGATACCGATTTTCTTGCAGAAGATCACATAATTTGTAACTGATGGAATCAGATGGATCTACCTGGTTTTCCAAGCTAAATCCTTTTCCATTACACCTGAGTTTCCTCAGGTTTTTTTCTGCAGTGATGTGTGTGTGAATCACCTGGGTATCTTGTTTAAGAGCCGGCCCTGGTTCACGTGGGCTGGAGTGGGACGTGAGAGCCTGCATTTATAACAAGCCCCGGGTGATTTCAATGCTACTGGTCCATAGGTCACAGTTTGAATAGCAATGTTCTAAAGAACAATAATTCCAGAGTATGTCAATAGATACGATTAAAACAACAACAACAATAAAATG
This sequence comes from Homo sapiens, assembly GCF_000001405.40. NCBI lineage: Eukaryota > Metazoa > Chordata > Mammalia > Primates > Hominidae > Homo > Homo sapiens. The sequence goes on from NC_000001.11 coordinate 239,768,071, forward strand.
CTCCTATTCAACATAATAGGAAAGACTGAGCAAAACAGGCTTGAAATGATCTCTTCATTGCAAGTCATCTCAGAGGCTTTAATTTGCTAATATGCACTGTGATTTTCCAAAAAGAGAATAGAGTATGCCCAATTTTTCAGATCTATTTGGTAACGTAAATTCTTTCTCCTAAAGCATATCTTAGGATTAGCGTTCACTTCAGAAGCATTGAACTCCATCAATCTAACTATTTAAAGATCAGATTTTTGGGGGGAAAACACTAGAATAAAGGCAGTAGTCAGGATAGGGTAAAATTACGTAGCTGTTCATGTACCTAATATATGCCAGGTTCATACTGGAGTTGGGAAGGGATGGATGAAAATGTGATACAAAAATGAATGACGCAGCACTTATGCCTTCCAGAAAGCCCAACATGGTGAAAATAAACATGGTGAAAATTAAATAAATGCTAAATGCAGGTTGAAATAAACATGCTGTAAAGAATAAAAGAATTGTGGCTTCTAAACATTTGGTAGTGATTTGGAATTCTCCTTTTTTCCTTCATCTGATAGTTCCTTTATTAAAATCCTTAGACGCTGTGGTGATTGCTCATGGAGAGATGTAGAGGGCTGAGAATGTTTTCCAGATGTAACCTTCTCCCATATCAGAAGTCTCTTCTTTGCCTTACTTCTCACTAGGAGCCAGAGTTAAATGATAATTTTTTTTTTTTTTTGAGATGGAGTCTCTCTCAGTCACCCAGGCTGGAGTGCAATGGCATGATCTCAGCTCACTGCAACCTCCACCTCCTGGGTTCCAGCAATTCTCCTGCCCCAGCCTCCTGAGTAGCTGGGATTACAGGCACGCGCCACCATGCCCAACTAATTTTTGTATTTTTAGTAAAGACAGATTTTCACCACGTTGCCCAGGCTGGTCTCCAACACCTGACCTCAAGTGATCCACCCACCTCGGCCTCCCCAAATGCTGGGTTTATAGGCATGAGCCACTGTGCCTGACCTAAGCGACTTTTTTTTTCTTCAGAATATGTTCTGCATGATTTTGCACATCTATGCCAGGAATTTCTTCTTTCATTCAATTGTTCTATAGGGAAAGTGGCAGGGATATTGACACTTGCCTTTCCCTCCCAGGATGGGGTGAACAGGTAGGCAATGGATAAGTAGGGAAGGACTGCTGTGCCCGCCACCGGCCTGGTGAGGCTTTCATCTGTCCTACTCTGCATTTCCCTGGATATGATCTCAAAGGTCTCAGGCAAAGGCATTGATGTTATTGTTATGTCAACCCTGTAAGACTTGGCCTCAGAGCTAAGAACTTTAGTATCAAAGTTGCAGGATTTCATAGACAGAGAGCCCCAAGATGTTCTTTCCTTTAAAATGTGAATTTTGGTAATGAGATGACTGATCTATTCAGCATGTAGAACAGTTGTATAAGCACTGTGTTCCCAAAAGAGTCGTGACATTTTGCCATTGACTTTGTCGCTGTAGCTCTTCTCCTTCCAGATCACTCAGTAAATGCATCCATTTTCCTCCTGTAGGTTTAGAATTATTTGTGTGGCGCCTGTAAGCCCAACACTTTGGGAGGCCAAGGCGGGTAGATCACCTGAAGTGAGGAGTTCAGGGCCAGCCTGACCAACATAGCGAAACCCATCTCTACTACAAATACAAAAATTAGCCAGGCTTGGTGGCAGGTGCCTGTAGTCCCAGCTATATGGGAGGTTGAGGCACGAGAATTGCTTGAGCCCAGGAGGCAGAGGTTGCAGTGAGCAGAGATTGCACCACTGCACTCCAGCCTGGGCAACAGAGCTAGACTCTGTCTCAAAAAAAAAAAAAATTATTTGCGTTGGGCTCACCTGTTTCTTTTAGGGCCATACATCACATTCTTTTTAGCTAAAGTCTGTTACTGGGGCACCTCCCACTTAAAAATTACAAAAACTAACCAAAAAAGCCAAACGTAATGATCTTACCTCATTTTCAAGTACTTTTTAGATTCTGGAGCACTCTGGTTTCATACTCACAAAAGCTCTATATCAAAATACGTTGAACACTGACTGTGGAAAATTCCACAGTGCTTGGAGAGTACAGCCGACCTATGGTATTTTCAGATTTATTAGCTTTCATTTCAAGCATGTGTTGTTGCTCCTAAAATTCACGGGACGTAGGTTTGTGGAGGCCTAGATCTGAATGGGCTCCAAGATCAGTGGGTGGGCCTAGACAGTGTATGTGTTTGCAGATTCATTTGGCTTTGTGGCCCTTTCCTCATCTCAGTTTAATCAGTAATGCCTGTAGTATGGTAAATTTATTTTTTGGCAACAACAACAAAAAAATGGTCAAGTGAAAGACATAATCTTAGTGAAATGTGAAAATTGGTTTAACTTGGGATTTGAGGATATAGACAGGAAATATATGCCCTCCTATGAAGATGTGCTTCAGAAGAAAGCTAAGAGCCTGGATAAAAATTTCAATAATCACGATTTTAAGGGTTCAAGGATCTTTGCCTTAGCCACGTAGTCTGCAGTTATGGGGAATGAAGGAAAGGACTGAGCGGAAGATGACTGCTTGAATGACCAGGAAAGGTTTTCCATGCCCAAGAAAGTAGAGGGACCTGAGTGATGACAGCTGCAGAGGGAACTATTAGACTTAAAATAATTATCATTGGTGATATAAGGAACCACAAGCCTTTGTTCATAATCATGCCTGCTTATCTCAAAATGAAAGTACCCAAGTGAGTTTTATATCAATTTGTCTTAAGATACAGGCTCACACCTGTAATCTCAGCACTTTGGGAGCCTGAAACGAGCAGATCACTTGAGGTCAGGAGTTTGAGACCAGCCTGATCAAAAATGGTAAAACCCTGTTTCTACTAAAAATACAAAAATTAGCTGGGCCTGGTGGTGGGTGCCTGTAATCCCAGCTACTATGGAGGCTGAGGCAGGGGAATTGCTTTAACCTGGGAGGCAGAGGTTGCAGTGAGCCAAGATCATCCTACTGCACTCCAGCCTGGGCAACACAGCCAGACTCCATCTCAAAAAAAAAAAAAGGTGACATTCAAGTAAAACATCCTTTATTAGTTTCACATTTCAGATGATGCTGATTTTTTATTTTCAGTGAATAAGTTACCCAAACTTTTAATCTCAGAAGCATGTTAGCCGCCCTCTCCCTTCTTCATTTCATCCAATTATCATTCTCAATAATTCCTCGCAAATATCTCTTCAGTTCTAGCCTCCTTCCGTTTGCACCTTTGGGCTTGCCTCCTCTCTGCCCTGGATTATTGGAATAGCCTCCTAATTGATCTCATTCCCTGAGACTCCTTGCTCCAGACTCCTCTCCACACTGCCACCTGGATTCCCGCCAAAAAAGAAAAAAGAATGGAAATCTGTTCATACAGCACCTCCACTTCTAGCAAACTCTCCTACAGAAACACTCGCTTCTGAGCACAAAGATGTATCAGGTTATTCGTTGCAGCCTTATTTGTGACAAAATAACTGTGTGACCTAAGTGGACGTCAAGGCAGAAATGATGAAATTCATTCTAGTGTGTACATAATGTAGACCAAGGGTCGGCAAACATTTTCTGTATAGGGGCAGATAGTATTATAATATATCAAGCTTTGAGGGCCATGCAGCCTCTGTCATAATTACTCAACTTTGCCCTTATATCAAGAAAGCAGCCAGAGATAATACACACACAAATGGGTGTGGCTGTCTTCCAGACAGCATGCCACATTTGGCCTACAGGCCCATAGGTTTCAAAGCCCTGTTTTAGATAAATATGCAGATATGAAAAGCAGTGTGGTCAATCTGTATGTGTGGACAGGAAAGGATATCCACAGTATATTCTTAGGTCAAACAGTAAACTACAAAAATATCCTCTATTTCTTTGTGGTTCTATCTTGGTTAAAAAGATAGATACAGAGACAGAGAGGAGATAGAGACATACAAAGAGAAACAAAAGAAAGATAAAATAGGTGATACAGTGTGCGTAAAATTGAAAAGTCCAGAGGAATATACAACAATTGTTATTAGCATCTTCCCCTGAGAGGGGTGGGTATGAAGACAAAGAAAGAAACTTTCCATTTCTATGTATATACTTTTCTTTTTTTTTCTTTGAGACGGAGGTTCACTCTGTCACCCGGGCTGAAGTGCAATGGCGCAATCTCAGCTCATTGTAACCTCTGCCTCCCGGGTTCAAGCGATTCTCTTGCCTCAGCCTCCCGAGTAGCTAGGATCACAGGCATGCACCGCCACAACCGGATAATTTTTTGTATTTTCGTAGAGATGAGGTTTCACCATGTTGCCCAGGCTGGTCTCGAACTCCTGACCTCAGGTGATCCGGCCACCTCGGCCTTCCAAAGTGCTGGGATTACAGGCATGAGCCACCATGCCCAGCCTATACTTCCTTGTTATTTAAATTTTTACATGATTGTGTATTATAGTTATCTTACAGAAAAACGTTGAAGTAATGAATCATCTCCCCAGATCCGACCCTATTCTCTGCTGTTTAAAGGCCTTCTATTGTTCTACGTTGTCTACAGGCTAAGCTCTAAGCAGTTTGTCAGAGCATTTACAGCAGTTTACAGTCTGCTCTGGTCTCATTTCCTATCTTCCAGTCCTTTTTTGCAAATTCTCCTACCCCACTGTACATGATGCCTTTCTGTGACTCCCTCTCTATACAATTACCCCTTGTTTCTCTGAATAGCTTTTGCCCTGCTTTTCCTTCCAACAAGCTCTTACCCATACCTCACTGCCGCAGCCAGATATCCCTCCTCTCTCATGTCTTTCCTGTCCCCTAAAGGCAGAAGTTGCTTCCAACATTTTATTTTAATGCATACGTGTTTCTATTTTTCATCTCCACTGTCAGACTAAGTGTCTTCAAGCAAGGATGTTGTTTTGTCATTTCTGAATCCCCACACTCAGCACAGAGCCTAGCACCTGGTAAACACTCATTCAATCTATACAGAGGAAGACTTTTTTGAGATGTTTTGAGATTCTTAGTGATATGATAGGGAGATTTTGACACTGAAATTTAAAATGTTTGGGAAAGTCTACAACATACACTCATATGTCAACAATTTTTAAATGTCCTGATCTAGGAAAGGGTTACTCACTAATGATCTGTAAGAGGGGAGTGCATACTTGGGTCTGCTGTACCACCGAAAGGTTGTAGGTATTCTCAGCATCTTCTAAGTAACCAACACAAACCAAAGCTTTTTACATTGTTCATCGAATAGCACATTCTAGTCTAAGTTGACTTTATAGCTATATTTATCAGCTGCAATTAATAAAATACCCTATTATTAATGACTTAAGTAACTGTTTACTTATCTCAAATATGAAGAGGTCTGGAAGAAGGTAGTTGCTGCTATTGAATTAACTACTTAACCCTGGCATTAAGAGAACAGCCTCTTTCCATCTTTACTTTTGCTATTTCTTACTATGTTGGGTTTCATTCCCATTCTCATTGCTTTGTATAACAGTTGCAAGGTGTCTACTGCACTACCAGAAATCACAGCCACATTCCAGGCAGGAATGAAAGTAAAGGAGCAAAAGACTTTCTTTTCTTTGTCTTATAATTCTGAAAAGGAAGTCCTCACTAGCAGTCCTACCTTCCATTGGCCCCTCACACTTGGCCCTTTAGCTATCAATCACTAGTCAAGGGAAATAAGATGAAGATGGCTAGTTGTAATCAATCATGCTTCAATCCCTAGACTTGGGAGGATGAGAATAACTCCTGTAATTAAAGGAATCTGCATGTTACCTCAATGCATAGGGGTTTCGTTAGAATGGAAGAAGGAAGGAGAATGAATCTTTGGTGAGGAAAGACTACCTGCTCCAATACTCCTTAGCCATTATCAGATTGGCAGGTAATTAGATTTAGAGATACTAGAGAAATAGTTAGACAGGAAGATTCTACTGTGTTCTGCTGTTGACCAGCTATAGGTACTACCTGAGATAATTACTTAGATTCTCTGGACTTTTTGTTCTGTCTGTAATATATGAGAAAATACCACGTGTCTCATGGGTTTATTGGGAGGACTAAACCAAGGTAACCTAACCTAAATCCTAGCATTTATGTGTCCCGTGATCAACATGCCAGTAATACCAGGACTCTTCCTAATTGGTCTGTATGCAGGGATTGAACTTGCTTGATTCATCTTTGTCCTTGAGTTTCGGTCTCTATTCCATTCCACTGGTGTCACTGCTCTTTTTACAGCTGTGGCTGGGTGAGTTAGATATAAATTGGGTACTTTTAATGTATTTTAATAGTCGTAGTAGGAATACCTAGCCAATGTGCTTATTTAGAGAGGGATGGGGTGGGTACTCAGAACAATAGGAGTTCCTGTGCTTGCTTAGTCATGAAAGCCAATTAGTCTTTCAATGTGGGGAAAAGAAAGATTTTTATAATCAGGAGGTAGAAAAAGAAAATTCAATTTAAATCAGTGCAGAATGAAATTTCTTTTGAGGCTGAAGTCTTTGGATGGCATAGTTTCCATCAAATAAAATTTTTTGCTCATCAACAATGACACACATTTCATTAAATAAAATAATGAGTCTGAGAGATTGCATCATGTTTCAGAATAATGTTAGCCATCCTTTCCTTCTGGCAGCTTTCTCCAAAACCTGGGGTTGCACTGGTTCACAGAAGGATATGGGGGAAGTCCCTCAATTTAGAAACAATAATTATCTGATTCCTGTCTTGTCAGATATTTCTACTAACAAAAAAGACCAGGAAGTGTTTCCCTTCACAGAGGAAAGGACATTGTTTATTACCATCAGATGTTTTCTAACAGCTACTCTGGAATGTAGAGAGGGAAAAATTTGAGGGAAGGGGAAAAATGTGAGGGAAGCTTATTTAAACTTTAGTATGCAATAGTTTTGGAAATCTCCTTGCCATAGGAGAGTGAATCAAACTCTATAGAGAAAAAGGATGTGAAAAAAAGAAAAAGAACTACTATATAGTCTTTATATGAATTCAGTCTTTCTAGAGACTCTACTGAATTAAAACTTTGCACTAAGTGCTATTTGATATTTTTCCATGTTCTGATAGTCTGTCTTATCTAACTTGGGATCATGGCTAAAAAAAAAAGTTTGTTTTACCTCTTTTGGTAAGTTTATTTTAAAAAATCAGATTAGTTTTAAGAATTACTGAAAAATCAAGCAATAATTTTATCTTTGACATTCATGTTAATAATAAGTTATACTTATTGTTGACTGTCTGAAAAGCATTTGGGAAACTCAAAGTTCTTTTTTTATATTTAATACATTTAGCTTTTTAAGAGGTACAAGATTGTCTGTGAAAAATGTTCAAGATTCTACCCAGATGGGAGGAATTCTTCAGTTTTCAAAGCCTTTTCTAAAACAATTCTGCTGTGAAAAAGTTTAAAACACATATTTTCTTTTGTTATATGAATAGAGACATACTCCTAGGGTCTCTTTAAACGGAAAGTACAATTCAGCTTTAATTTGTACTCTAAGAACTTCCAAAATCTCAGTGCCAAGTAGCAGTTGCTGTTTTCTCTGGATGTGTGTATAACTATGGCAATGCCCGCAGGGAGTTTGATCAAGATTCCATTTTAGGCGGCCTGGTGGAAGAAAGCACAAGGTATTGTAAAAGAGGAAATCGTGGAATAGCATCATGTTATGAGACACACTAGAATGTGGCATATTGCACCAGTCATCATATGATCAGGGAGAAATCGAGAGGCGAAACAGACTGTCATAGGCCAGGATTTGAAGAGAAGGAGCTGAAGGCTTGGAACTGCTGCTAGTGGTGACAAAAAGAGCATAAAAGAAAGTTTCTGTACAGGTTCTCACCTGTGCTGAATGAAATTCAGCTGTAAGGAGAATTTCTGGGAAAGATTGATTTGATTATAGTGTAACATTGTGGCATCTTGAAAGGGGCTTTTAACCCTTATAGATATTTCTAGACCTGAAGTCTTACATATTTTAGAATAAAATAAATTTGATGGCTTTTATGCATCTCAGCTTTTGTTTCTTCTTTTCTATTTATCTCTTTGCTTTCTTTGTGTTGTCTTCTCTGTTCAAAGGGACATCAAATAATGATTTGGTCTCTGTGAACATTTCTCCTATTACTCTCATAGATGCATAATACAGTGGCTAAAAAAGCACAGACTCTGGAGCCAGACTCCTTGGATTTGAATACAGCCTCCATGTTACCAGCTTTGTGCCTCAGTTTTCTCATCTGTATATGGGGATAATAATACAATAAGTGCCTTATAAGGTTGTCATAAGGATTACATGAGTTAATGATTGCAAAATCCTTAAGACAATGTGTAACACATAGTAAGCATTAATTATGTAAGTGTATCTTAAAAGTTTTTAAATGGTCCCAGTGATTACATAGAATAATAATATGAAGGACTGTTCAGTATATTCTCCTCTTTCTTAATGTGGCTGCTCAGAACTAGATGCCACACCCCATATTTTCCTTATCCCCTGGCAGATAGTGAACCTTTCAAAAAATTGATGTAAGGAAGGGAAGAAGAACAAAGAGATGAAAAGAAAAGAAGGAATCCGTCCATGGGAAAAAATTCGCTAAATGAGGGCCATGCCAAGGTACTCACCATATAGTGGAATATAATATACTTGTATTAGTCCATTCTCATGCTGCTAATAAAGACATACCTGAGACTGGGTAATTTATAAAGGAAAGAGGTTTAATTGACTCACAGTTCCACAGGGCTGGGGAGGCCTCAGGAAACTTACAGTCATGGCGGAAGGGGAAGCAAACATGTCCTTCGTCACATGGCAGCAGCAAGGAGAAGTACAGAGCAAAGTAGGGGAAAAGCCCCTCATGAAACCATCAGGTCTTGTAAGAACTCACTCACTATCATGAGAACAGCATGGAGGTAACCATCCCCATGATTGAGTTACCTCCTACCAGGTCCCTTCCATGACACATGGGGATTATGGGAACTGCAGTTCAAGATGAGATTTGGGTGGGGACACAGGCAAACCATATCAATAGTATATCCTTTATCCATGAGCTAACACAATAATCCTTTCAACCGAAGATTTTGACTGTCTGTTCTATGTAACACTCTGTGCTATTCTAGAAAAGGTTGTATTCTGGGAAAGGTTATTAAACAGATGGTTGTGAGCCATAAGAAAGTGGAAGACATCTCTAGGAATAAACAAGAATCCACTAAAAGAAAGTCAAGCCAAATCGACATGATCATCTGTGATAGAAGAGACTAGTCAGGCAAAACACTGCTGTAGGTTAGTTCATTTTGATTTTGGAACAACGTTTGAGGGAGGTTCTCAAGGAACTGTGATTGAAAACATAGATTGCTTAATAATTTAATGAGGTGATGTTTAATAAGCTTAATAACTATAAAAATGAAAACTAACATTATTCTATAAAAATTTGTTCTGGAAGCTGTGCTATTTGGGGTGGTACTAATTGACTGAATGGCAATGGAAACTTCAGGAAGATAAAATGTTAAATCTATCACATCTAGGTAAATAAACATTAAGTCTCACATTTGAGCCAGGAACAAAGTTTCTATTTAAGGAATTTGAGGTGGGGGGTGCAGATAATGCACAAAGGTGAAAAAGCACAGCTTTCTTCTGTTCTTTGAGCATATTCTTTGTCAGCCTATAGGCTGACCAATGATTTATGATATTCAGATGCAAATTAAGGGCAGAAAAAAGCGAAGAAATGAACATTCATAGAGAGTTGTGAAAAGGTTTAAAACCTATTCTAGGTTCTGCTTAGGATATTAGCCAAAAATGTGAATCCTTCAAATAGTTACAGGGTTGTATTTCCTGAGACCTAGATAAAATGCCTTTGGCCAGTTTCTTTTCTTCAGGGGAATATAAGAAACACAGCGCTGGATAAGAGTGATATAATGGACTATGGGGACTCAGGGAGGTCCGGGGAAAGGTTGGGAGGGAAGGAGAGATAAAAGACTACATATTGGGTACAGTTTACACTGCTTGGGTGAAGGATGCACTAAAATCTCAGAAATCACCACTAAAGAACTTATCCATGTAACCAAAAACCACCTGTACCCCCAAAACTATTGAAATTTTTTTAAAAAGAAAAGAAACAGTGCTAGGTTGACCTTTGACCATCTGCCCCAGTATTAAGTTTGACAGCAGCACATCAAGCAATACCACATCCCTAAACTCAAAAGAATATAGTCTCAAAACATAAAAACTGAATGATTCAACTTCAAATTATGCAAACCATCTTTTGGAGTTCTTTCTATTTTCAACCATTTCCAACTATTGAGGTAATAAGTGACCAATGTTTACTCTATATTGGATTAAATATTACTGTTATACGTCTTAAATTTACTTCTGAAATCTCCAAGTCATCACATCTACCACCCTCTCCCCATATCCTGGTTTTAACAGCATCTGGCTGTAAGTTCCGTGTTTATCCTATCTGTGCCCTTTTGATGTTATAGACTTCCACCAGCCACCTCCCCAACATTTATCTTGGCAGACAAGAATTTATACAAATTTAACAGTCCCTCCTGACCTGGATCATTCCCATTGCCTTTCTCTGGCCCTTCTCCAGCAACATTATAGGATTCTCTTAGGGCAGTCACAAAGACTGCATATCCTTTTCTGTGAGGTGGATGATTGTGAACCCGTTGGTTCGCATAGTGTTTTCTCGATAGCAGCTAGGGGATTTGGATTTGATTCAGAAATGACTTGGACATTACCCACACACAATCCTGTAATTCCTCTCTTTGGAGCCACGATTACAGGGGATGCCAGGTCCTATTCATTTTGGCCTTTTTTGTCCAACTTTTCCTTCTCCAATTGTAAACATTTGCAATGACCGTATAAAGTCCTATCCTTAAAAGAGACACACTTATAGTTTCAAGAAGGTGCTATGTGATTGTTTCCATTTCCATTATTCTTCCTTCAAAAAAGATGGTTTAACAATATTTTCCTGCCACTTGTCAGAAGGATAAGTGGACAGTTTTCCCATCTTACTATTTGCTTAATATTTCCATCTTAATATTTATAATATTTTATATTCCTTTCCTGATGAAACTTCACTTGTGGGATTTGGTGTTTTTTATTTATTTGTTTGTTTGTTTCTTTGTTTTTTCATAGACTACACGTTTTAGAGAAGTCTTAAGTTCATAGCAAAATGGAGAAGAAAGCACAGAGAATTCCCATACACCCCCTGCCCCAACACATGCACAGCCTCCCCTGTTTTCAGCATCCCCCACCAGGGTGTGTAATTGTGACAAGAGATGCATCAACATTGACACATCATCACCAAAGACCCTGGTTTACCTGAGGTTTCACTCTTGGTGTTGTATATTCTATGGGTTCAGACAAGTATATTCACAATTACAGAATCATGTATCCACCATTATAGTATCATACAGAATAGTTTCACCTAGGCCAAGTGTGTTGGCTCATGCCTTTAATCCCAACACTTCGGGAGGCCGAGGCAGGTGGATCACTTGAGGCCGGGAGTTTGAGACCAGCCTGGCCAGCATGGCAAAACCGCGTCTCTACTAAAAATACAAAAAATTAGCCAGGCATGGTGGCACAAGCCTGTCATCCCAGCTACTTGGGTGGCTGAGCCACAAGAATTGCTTGAACCTGGGAGGTGAAGGTTGCAGTAAGCTGAGATTGTGTCACTGTACTCCAGACTTGGCAACAGAGCAAGACACTGTCTCAAAAAAAGAAAAAAAGAATAGTGTCACCTAAAAATCCTCTGTGCTCTACTTATTCATTCCTCCCTGCACCCTAACCTCTGGCAGCCACTGATCTTTTTACTGTCTCCATATATTTGCCTTTTCCAAAGTGTCATATACTTGTAATCATGTAGTATGTAGCCTTTTCACATTGCCTTTTTTCCCTTAGTAACATGCATTTAAAGTGCCTTCATGTCAGTTCATGTCTTGATAGTGTCTGTCTTTGTAGCTTTGAATAATATTCCATTGTACTGCAGTTTATTTATTCATTCACCTACTGGAGGACATCTTGGTTGCTTTCAAGTTTTAGCAATTATGAATAAAGTTGCTATAAATATTCATGTGTAGGCTTTTGTGTGGACATAAGTTTTCAGCTCCTTTGAATAAATACCAAGTAATGTGATTGCCAGATTGTATAGTTAGAATATGTTTAGTTTCGTAAGAAACTGCTAAACAGTATTCCAAAGCATCAGTGCCATTTTGCGTTCCTGTTGGCAATAAATTAAAGTTCCTACTGCTCCATATCCTCACCAACATTTGGTGTTCTCAGTGTTCTGGATTTTTGCTATTCTAATAGGTGTGTAGTGGTATCCTGTTGTTTTACTTTGCATTTCTCTAAGAAAATATGTTGAGCATGTTTTCCTATGTTTCTTTGCCAACTGTATATCCTCTTTGGTGAAGAGTCTGTTCAGGCTTTGACCATTTTTTAATCAGGTGGTTGGTTTTCTTATTGTTGAGTTGTAAGCATTCTTTGTATATTTTGGAGAACAGTTCTTTATGTGTTTTGCAAATATTTTCTTCCAGTCTGTGACTTTTCTTCTCATTCTCATGACAGTGTCTCTCACAGAGAAGACATTTTAATGAAGTCCCGCTTATCAATTATTTCTTTCATGAATGGTTACTTTGGTGTTGTATCAAAAAAGTCATCACCAAACCCAAGGCCACCTAGATTTTCTCCTTCGTTACGTTCTAGAAGTTTTATAATTTTATATTTTACATTTAGATATGTGATTCATTTTGAGTTAATGTTTTGTGAAGGGTGTAAGGTCTGTGTCTACATTTATTTGTGTGTGTGTGTGTGTGTGTGTATAGATGTCGAGTCGTTCCAGTTGTGGAAAAGCTATCTGTAGTCTGTTGTATTGCCTTTGCACCATTGTGAAAGATCGGTTCACTATATTCATGTGGGCCTATTTCTGGGCTCTCTATTTTGTTTTATTAATCTGTCTGTCCTTTCACCAATAGAACACTGTCTTGATTATCTTTTAACAGGTCTTGAAGTAAGATGGTATCAGGCCTCTGACTTTGTTGTCCTTTAATATTGTATTGATTATTCTGGATCTTTTGCCTCTCCATGTAAACTTTAAAATCATTTTGCCCATATACACAAAATAACTTTCTGGGATTTTGATTGGGATTGTATTGAATCTAGAAATCAAATGAGGAGTAACTGACATCTGGACAATATGGAGTCTTCCTATCCATGAGCATGAAACATCTCTCCATTTATTTAGTTCTTCTTTGACAGCTTTTATAGTTTCAGAGTTTCAGAGTTTTCCTCATGTCAATCTTACACTATTGTGATAGATTTATACCTATTTGGGGGAAATTAACATTAATATGTGTTTTTAATTTCAAATTCCACCTGTTCATTGCTAGTACAGGAAAGCAATGGACTGTTGTGAACTGCATTCTGCAACATTGCTACAATTGCTTATTAGTTTTAGGAGTTTGGGCAAGAGGGTTTGTTCTTCTATTTTTGTTTTGGGGATTTTTTATGGGTTCTTTTGGATTTCCTACATAGATGATCATGCCAATACAGTTTTATTTCTTCCTTCCTAATCTAAATTCTTAGCATTCCCTTTTCTTGTGTTATTGCATTAGCTGGAACTTCCAGTGTCATGTTGAAAAGCAGTGGTGAGCGGGGACATCCTTGCCTTGTACATGATATTAGTGGGAAAGCTACTAGTTTCTCATTATTAAGTATGATATTAGTTGTGAAATTTTTGTAGATATTCCTTAAAAATTAAGGATATTTCCCTCTCTTCTTTGTTTACTGGGACTTTTATCATGAATACGTGTTGGGTTTTGTCAAATCCTATTTCTGCATTTATTGATATAATCAAGTTGTTTTTCATCTTACCATATTGATATTATGGATTACATTAATGAATTTTCAAATGTTGAACCAGCCTTGCATATTTGGGATAAATTTCACTTGGTCGTATTGTATATTCCTTTTATGTATTGTTGGATTTGGTTTGCTAATATTTTGTTGAGGACTTTTGCATCTATGTTCTTAAGCAATACTGGTCTATAGTTTTCTTTTCCTGTAATGTATTTGTCTAGTTTTGGTATTAGGATAATGTTAGCCTCATAGAGTGTATTAGTATTTTATCTGCTTCTATCTGCTGAAAGTGATCATAGAGAATTGGTGTAATTTTTCTTTAAATATTTGGTAGCATTTACCAGTGAACCCATCTGGGACTAGTGTTTCCATTTTGGAAAGTGAATTAATTATTTATTTAATTTCTCTAATGGATATAGGCCTATTTTGATCAACTGTTGCTTCTTGTCTAAGTTTTTGGCAGCTTGTAGCTTTCAAGAAATTAATTCCTGCCATCTAGATTATCAAATTTGTGGGCAACATGTGTTCATAATGTTCCTTTATCATCCTTGTAAAGTCCATGTTATCTGCAGTGATGTCTCCTCTCTCGATTATGATTTAGTAATTTGAATTCTTACTTTTTTTCTTAGTTGGCCTGGCTAGAGACTTATTGGTTTTACTGATCTTTTCAAAGAACTAGTTTTCAGTTTAGTTGATATTCTCTACTGATTTTCTCTTTGTAGAAATCGGTTTCATTGATTTCTGCTCCATTTATTATTATTTCTTTTCTATCTGCTTACTTTGGAATTGATTTGCTCCTTTTCTACTTTTCTAAGGTGGAAACTTAGATTATGGATTTTAAGATCTTTCTTTCCTAATATATACACTCAATGCGATAAATTTCCCCTTCAGCACTAGTTTTGCTGCACCACACAAGTTTTGATAAAATTGTGTACCATTTGCAGTTAGTTCAAAATATTCCAAATTTCTTTTTGCGATTTCTTCTTTGACACATATATTATTTAGAAGGGAGTTGTTTACTTTCTGTTTTGGGGACTTTTCAGCTATAGTTATTGTTTTTTAATTTAGTTTCATTGTAGTCTTAAAGCAGACGTTGTTTGATTTCTAGTTTTTTTAATTTGTTAAAGTGTGTTTTATGGCCCAGAATGTGGTCTATTTTGGTGAATGCTTCATATAAACTTGAGAAGAATGTATACTCTAATACTTTTGTCTGAAATAGTCTACAGATGTTCATTATACCTATGGTATTTTTGAGCTCAACTATGTCCTTTCTGATTTTCTGTCTGCTGGGTCTATTTCTCATAAGTAGATGTCAAAGTCTCCAGCTATAATATTGGATTCACCTGTTTCTTTTTTAATGGAGGATAAAAAATATAATTTAATATAATAATTATAGTTATGCTTAGAGAGATAAGAAACAATATTTTGGAAAATTTCTAAGTTATAAAAACATATTCAATAGTCTTAATATATGGGAAAATACATATTATTATGTATGTGTATCTATGTTGAAAATAGAATGGACACAGCTGAAGATAGTAAGCTATTAATAGAAGACTAAGAAAGGTAAATTTCACAGAAATAAATGAATAAGAGTATATGCAGGATTTATATAAAACATGCAAGATAATAATAGCCATCTTGAAGGGATTCCAGGTTACTCCCTAAAAGAACAGAGAGAAGTGAGTAAATAGTCAAACAATCAAATGCATGAGTCTAAAGTCTGAAATGAACAGCTGAGAACTGAACAAGATTAATAAAAACAGACTCAAATTTAGATACATGTGAATGACATTTAAGAATTGCAAGATAAGATAGATTTGTTAATTTTTCTTTCAACTTTTATTTTAGGTTCGGGGGTATATGTGCAGGTTTGTCACATGAATAAGTTGCATGATGCTGAGGTTTGGGGTACAAATAATCCTGTCACCAGAGTGTGAGGACGGTACTTGATAGGTAGTTTTTCCACCCTTTCCCCACTTCCACTCTACCCACTGTGGTAGTCCCCAGTGACTATTGTTCCCTTCTTATGTCCAGATGTAGTCAATGTTTAGTTCCCTCTTATAAGTGAGAACGTGCAGTATTTGGTATTCTGTTCCTGCATTAATTCACCGAGGATAATGGCCTCCAGCTACATCCATGTTGCTGCAAAGGACATGATTTCGTTCTTTTTGATGTCTGCCTAGTATTCCAAGATTCATCAGTTCTATAAGTTTTTGCTTCACTTACTTAGATGCTTTCTTGTAAAGTTTCATCGTTAGGCCTTCTTGGGAATTGATCCCTTTTTATCATTGTGCAATGCTCCTCTTTTTTCCCTGATAACTTTTCTTGCTCTGAGGTCTACTCTGTCTGAAATTAATATGACTACACCTGGTTTCTTTTGATTAGCATTAGCTGTTGTTTTCTATGTGTTGCCCAAGTTCATTGTTCTTATTTTTATTTTTCCTTTTTCTACTTTCAGTCATTTTAATTGAACATTCTATGTGATTTCATTTTCTCTCCTTTCTTAGTATATCAGTTTTACTCCTTTTCTATTTTTATTTTTTAGTGGTCGCCTTAAAGTGTGCAATACATTTACAGCTAACTCAGGTCCACGTTCAATTAACACTATACCACTTTGTGGTGATATAAGTACCTTAGAATAGCAAAGTATTCCAAATTCCTCCCTCCTGTCCCCTATATCATTGCTGTCATTTATTTGACTTATACATTAGCTGTAATTATTAATACGTCGTTACAATTAACATTTTGAACAAAATGTTATATGTTAGATTACTTAAAAATACAAAAATAGAAGTTTTGATTTTACCTTTATTTATTCTTTTTCTAACGCTTTTCCTTTTTATTCCTAATGGTTTTTTGTTTGTTTTTGTTTCTTTATATTTTTAGTGACTGAATTAACTTATTAGCAACAAGGCTAATGGAAATCACTTGAGCCTCTCTAAGTCTTTCTCCTCCCTTGACACATTTGGAGGACTGAGGGAACTAAGTGATTTCTAATGTCTTTCCAGCTCTATTTTTCAGTGATTTTAGTTTAGGCTTTTTAGTTCTTTCATTTCTTACAAGATTTGCATACCAAATTGTTAATTAAAAACAATCCACATTTTATCCTATAGTTGTCTAGAATGTTCATTGTCTTCTCAGTTCTCTTGCTTTTTTTCCAATTTGCCATCTGCCAGTTTGCTGACTTGGCAATATTTCCACTATCCATGTGCCAGCTTTGCAACCTCTCAGCAAGGCTCGCAGCTCCTTCTGCACGATTTGAGGGTCTTGGCATAAATAGGACCAGGAAGGCAGAGGGAAGCCTTCCAACCACTGCAGTGCAATTGCTCCCCTATAAAAGCCAAGCAGTTCAGGTCCAGCATCCTCAGGCCGTGATTGTAGATAAACTCTCTGTGATTTCATTGAGGAGTATTTGTATAGATCAGCTGAAATTCATGGAGATGGAAAACATTATTAAACCCGGTTATGTGACTTCTTGAAGTTACATTGTGAGTTATGAAGGCTGCATTCTTTTAAATGGGTTTTGGAATTTAGTTGTGATGAACATTTGAGGATTTAGAAATAGAAAAATAAATTGTGTAAACCCTTCGCTTTCTGTCTGCATGCGTGAAGACCACATAGATAGCTTGTTTGCTTCTGCTACAGTCTCATTGACTTCTCTGCCCTCGTCAGTCTTCCTCTCCATGTTTTCCCCACTTATCTTTCTTACTTCAGTGCAGAATTTCTTTCTTTATTTTAATGTCTATCTAGTTTTTTATTATTTCTATCAGTGCTTTATAGATTTCTCAGCTTAGTTTTGCCTTGGACAACTTCTTCTCTATTCACAGGTATCAGCTGGGATTGACAAGGGTTAGTTTCTTCGTGGAAAAAAAAAATGGGAGCTAAACTGACTGATGGAAGCAGCTGCCACTAATAGACTTTGGTTTTTGTTTTAATCTTCATGGAAGGGTTTAGTTTGCAAATTCTTCCTGCTTGGATATTTAGGAGCCTTTCCTAAGGAAGGGACCAGAATTATTTTCTTTATGTAAAATTTTATATGTGTTTAAAATTCTGTCCTCTGTGTGTGTATATGTGTAGTACATATGGGTATAACTGGCCTTAGGAAATAGGTTCAAGTGCTTACACAATATTGATCAGTCTAATATTTTAAACATATTATCTCAAGTTATTTGTTTGAGTATAGTATACTTTGAAGGGTTCCTCAGCTTCACTTTTAACCTATTTTTTATTTCTATTTCCTCTACAGTAGCATTATCCTATAGTTATCCTGATATCCATTTAATTTCAGAAGGACTGGATATTACTTTAGTCAAGATGCAGTCTGATTTAATTTTATTTTTAAAACAAACAGCACTCCCCCTCTCAGCTTTGTATAATTCATTTTATTAATATTTTGTATCCACCATGCTAGATTACTGTGAGGCAAAAGCAAATAATAATAATTACCTATACTTACAATGTGCTGTGTGCCAGGCACCATTCTAAACATTCCATGTGTATTTCCTCATTTAACCCTCACAACATTACTATGAGATAGATATTGTTATGATTCCCATCTTATAGATAAGGAAGCTGAGACCGAGAGAGGGTAAGTCATTTGCCCAGGGGTCACACAGCTAATTAGCAGTAGGAGAGGAGTCTGGTGGTACAGCTCGTAAATCTGTTTAGCTTCTAAACGGCTTCTGTACTAGTCTGAGATGAGCCTTACCTAAGCAGCTCAGGCAGGGACAGAGCCTTGTGATCATTGTTATAACAGAGAGGTGCTCAGAGGTCACTGGGCTCAGAGGAATGCCGCATCTCACACCGCAGGGTGCCGAGGGCAGGCGGGCCTTCCACAGCG
Source organism: Homo sapiens (assembly GCF_000001405.40). Taxonomy (NCBI): domain Eukaryota; kingdom Metazoa; phylum Chordata; class Mammalia; order Primates; family Hominidae; genus Homo; species Homo sapiens. Next base: position 239,786,721 of record NC_000001.11, read on the forward strand.
AGGCATGCTGCTGAAGGTGTCATATGCACAGCAAATGAGATGACGCCGTAGTGTCACCCGGCTTTGGGGAATCATGTGCATAGTGGAAGTCAGGGTAAGGACCAAGTGAACAGAGAGTGAAGGAGGGAAGTTTGGTGAGAAATACCAGGTCATGGAAAATCCTGTAGCGAAAACCAAAGTTTGAGGTTACAGGGAGCCACTGAAGGACATTGTGCAAGCAAACTCAATGATAAATTTATATATTAGGAAGACCACTCTGGCTTCCACATAGAAACATTTGTCAGAGGGGCCAGACAAGAGTCAGGAAGACTAATCAGTGGGTGATTATAATAAACCAGGTGGTGCATGAGAAAAAAATTCAAATCTAAGCTCTTGCCCATAATTTTGGTTTTCATAAATAGGTGAATGATACCAACTCAGACAGGATGCAGGAAGGCCAAGTTGGAAAGGAAAGATGGTAAGTTTAATTTTAGATTTCTGAAGTCTGCAATGCCAGAGTCATCTCATCATGGTATCCACCTGGTGGCTGAAGAGCCATGTCTGGAACTCAGAAGATGTCTGATATGAAAGAAACAGTTTCTCCTTGAGGTTAGCTCTGGATTCAGGGAGTTTGGTTAAAGCCACCTGCATATGGACTGAGGAGCCCCCAGGGCAGAGGATGAAGCCTTGGCAGTAAGGATGAAGCAGAAGCCGTGTAGAAGCTTGAAAGAAGCCAGCCTGGAGGGAAGAAGCCAAGACATCAGGTCTTAGAAGCCGAAACAAGAACTCCCAGTGGCAGGAAAGATCAATAACCTGGATTCTTGAGAGAGGTAAAATGAGGATAGAAAAAGTATCATGAGACTCGGCAATTCAAAGGTCCTTGCGACATTAGGATAGTTCAGTAAAGTGAAACAGGCAGACCCAGATTGCAATGTGATCGTGCTGGCCCATGCTGAGGGGAAGCGGGAACAGCTACCTCACACTCCTCTGTTAATGAGAATAAGCGTGAGAATCACCACAACTAAGTTTAAATTACAGCCCTGTCATTTACAAGTTGTCCGATCTTAGGCAAGTGTCTTAACATAGCTTGCCTGCAATTTTCTAATATGTAAAGTTAATTTTATTTATCTCAATTCATATTTGGGAATTAAATGTAAAAAGATTACATATATATTTAAAGTACACTGTAATTCTTACAGTTGTTATTTCACTGTAATTGTTATTTCACTGTAATTCTAAGGTTAAATGGTTAAGCAGGCCAAGTGCAGTGGCTCACACCTGTAGTCTCAGCACTTTGGGAGGCCAAGGCAGGAGGATTGTTTGAGGCTCGGAAAAGACTAGCCTGGGCAACATAAAGAGATTCCTCTCTACAACAATTTTTTTTTAATTATTTGGGCATGGTGGCATGCATCTGTAGTACTAGCTACTTGGGAGTCTGAAGAGGGAGGATCACTTGAGCCCAGGAGTTTGAGGCTCTAGTGAGTCATGATCACACTACTGCACTCCAGCCTGCCTGGTAGAGTGAGACCCCCCAACTCAAAATAATACCACAAGACAAAACGAAAAAATAGTTTTGTTTTTCTTCCCCTGAATCTCATGTAGAGCAAATATTTTAATATTGAGAAAGCAGACAACCACCAACCTTCAGCAATTAGATTTTTTTTGCATGTTGTATTTAGATTTTCATACCATTTCATATGATAGCCAGGTTTCCTTCCAGTGTCTTCTAAGGCCTACGTTAACAGTCCTTTAAAGGCAATTCATGTTTCAAATGATAACCCTGAGGCCAGGCACAGTGGCTGACACTTGTAATCCCAGCACTTTGAGAGGCTGAGGCAGGTGGATTCCTTGAGGTCGGGAGTTCCAGACCAGACTGAGCAACATGGTGAAACCCCATCTCTACTAAAAATGCAAAAATTAGCCAGGCGTGGTGGTAGACACCTGTAATCCTAGCTACTCGGGAGGCTGAGGTAGGAGAATTGCTTGAACCTGGGAGGCAGAGGTTGCAGTGAGCTGAGATGGCACCACTGCACTCCAGCCTGGGCGACAGAGTGAGAATCTGTCTCAAAAACAAAATAAACAAACAAAACAAACAAGTGATAACCCTGAGCGAAAGACTGTAATATACTTTAAATCTACAAAAAATGAAATTTTCATTCAATTGTAAAGTATATTTTATGCCATTTTAATTCTTTGAAAGGATATTTAATGTGTATTAGTTATAGTAATTCTAACTATTATATAACTTACAAACTCTAAAATCCCAGTGGATTAAAACAGCATTATCTTATATTTCGCTTGTGTAAGAGTCCACTTGGGGTCTTCCTGGTCAGGCGTCTTTTCTCTGAGTGATTTGAGGACCATTCCATCCTTTGGCTTCACCATGTTCAAATGTGGTCTCCAAGGTCACACTAAAGGTGTCTTCGTTGCACCCATTCAGAAGAGAAAAGAGCATGTGAGATGTGGTCATTGGAGGGTACTAGACCAGGTTTGAAGTGATGCATATTACGTCTGTCATGTCTCACTGGCCAGTGCTCAAATTATGCCTAATTACAAAGGAGACTGGAAAATGTCATCTAGTTGTATACTCTGGAGGAAGAAAAATTAATTTGGCGAAGATTAAGCAGTCTCTGAACAATAAATAAGCAATATGAAACAGGAATATACTTCTACCATCATTAAGCAGAACACCACTGTCTCAGTGCATTTTGCATTGCTATAAAGGCGTGCCTGAGACTGGGTAATGTATAAAGAAGAAAGGCATATTTGGCTCACAGTTCTGCAGGCTATACAAGAAGTGTGGCACCAACATCTGCTTCTGATGAGGGCCTCAGGCTGCTTCCACTCATGGAGGAAGGTGAAGGGGAGCTGGCATGTGCAGAGATCACATGGAAAGAGAGGAAGCAAGAGAGAGAGTGGGGAGGTGCCAGGCTCCTGTTAGCAACCAGCTCCCTCAGGAACTAAGAGCGAACTTACTCACCATCCCCAACTTCAGGTAGGGCAATAATGTATTCATGAGGGGTCCACCCCTATGACCCAACCACCTCCCATTAGGCCCCACCTCCAACACTGGGGATCAAATTTCAACATGAGGGTTGGAAAGACAAACATCCAAACTTTAGCAACCGCTTTCCCAGCCACACTGGATAAGTGTGGAGTTAGCTCAGTTTTGCAGATTCCTCATTAGTCTTTTGAAGAATAGTTAAGATCAGAGACCTGGATGTGAGACATGGAGTGAAAGGAGATCATTTTGGAGCTTTAAGATTTGACTACCCCACTGGATTTCAGACTTGCATGGGGCCTGTAGCCCCCGTTTGGCGAATTTCTACCATTTGTAACCCGTGTATTTACTCAATACCTGTACCCTAGGTGTATTTACTCAATGCCCGTACCCATTGGATCTAGGAAGTAACTAACTTGCTTTTGATTTTACGGGCTCATAGGCAGAAGGAACTTGTCTTGTCTCACATGAGACTTTGGACTGTGGACTTTCGGGTTAATGCAGAAATGAGCTAAGATTTAGGGGCACAGTTGGAAAGGCATGATTGGTTTTAAAATGTGAGGACATGAGATTTGGGAGGGACCAGGGTAAGAATGATAGGGTTTGGCTGTGTCGCCACCAAATTCTCACCTTGAATTGTAGTAATACCCACACGTCAAGAGTAGGACCAGGTGGAAATAATTTAATCATGGGGGAAGTTTCCCCCAAACTGTTTTCATGGTAGTGAATAAATCTCATGAGATCTGATGGTTTTATAAAGGGGAGTTCCCCTGCACAAGCTCTCTTGCCTGCCACCATGTAAGACATGACTTTGCTCCTCACTCACCTTCCACCATGATTGTGAGGCCTCCCCAGCCATGTAGAACTGTGAGTCAATTAAACCTCTTTTCTTTATAAATTACCCAGTCTTGGGTATGTCTTTATTAGCCACATAAGAACAGACCACTACAATCAGTTTCCCCTGTCTAGCCTGGCAATTGTGGAAACCTAGGCAGAGAATCACAAAGCTGTTAGCAGATCTAAAATTTGAAGAAAAGCTCCCTGACCTCTTTTACAGAATATTAGTTCCTAAACCTCATTAACTTCCTGGAGCACAAATGTGATAGAGCAAGGACTGTGCTTGGGCCTCAAAATATAGCTTTGTGGACATCAGAGTCAATGGCAGGATAAAGTCTCATCTACTCCATAATGTAAAACATGTATAAGTTTGTGAAAAGTACTGTTAAAATGAAAAAGCATGATAAAATTTATTCACAGAAAAACAAGAGAGATTTTATTTTGTTTTTTGTTTTTTTCTGGTAAAATATCACCAAAAAATAGGAAAATATCTGTAGGAGTCGCTCCTGGAGAAAAAAAAAAAAAAACACACAAAACTAGCATGTCCCACAGCTTTTCTTTATTTTTGTTTATTCATTTATTTTTGAGACAGGGTCTCTCACTGTTGCCCATGCTGGAGTGCTGTGATGCAGTCTCGGCTCACTGCAACCTCTGCCTCCCAGGTTCAAGCAATTCTCCTGCCTCAGGCACCTGAGTAGCTGGGATTACAGGCATGCACCACCACATCCAACTGATTTTTGTATTTTTAGTAGAGACAGGGTTTCACCATGTTGGCCAGCCTTGTCTCGAACTCCTGGCTTCAAGCAATCCAACCTTCTTGGCCTCCCAAAGTCCTGGGACTACAGGCGTGAACCACCATGCCCAGCCAGTAAACATTTCTTTAAAAGGGGCATGTTGAGCAATTTCAGTAATACCATGAAAGGATCTGCTAAGCAGGGAGACTTGGGAAGAGTGAGTTGGTAGGATTGTGGCTACCTCTTTAGTGGCTGTAGAAATGTTACTACAGGCATTTCTGTTTTTCTAATCAGTTTTATTTTCTGATGTGTGAGGCAAGGATACATTTTCCCTGCCATCCTAAGACTGGCTTTGCCTTGGGAGATCACAAACCAATCAGAGGGCTCAGTATAATCTCTGCCAGCTCAGAGAGCTTGAGAAAAAAGAAAAGAAAAGAAAGAAAAGGGTTGGTGATATTTCATTAGGCACATAGGCACAGACACTGAGATGGGTAAGAAAGGAGGAAGCAGATCCTCAACGAGTTGTATAAAGAGATGGGCTTGAAAGTCTATGGATTCAGCTGTGAACATGAGACAGCAATGGGGGCATGTGGCTACCAGAAACACAGTGGGTAGATTGGCAGATACAAGACCTACAATAGTGGGTGCATGTGTCTGTAAATATACGTATTCAGTCTTATCAATCCTGCTTCAAATACTGGTTTAGAAAAGAAGAAGACAGAGAAGAGTTCATTGAGAAGGAGACGCATTTGGACAGGTCAAGCTGCGGAATTGGTTTCCTCATTACCCTGCAGTGTGTCTCATTGCTGCTGTGGTCCAAGCTCTGGGTGTCTTCCAGGCTCTCTCTGAGCACCTTGGCCACTGGGGCATCAAGGCTAGTCCTCTTCCTTCCTTTGCCCTTTCTTCCTTTCTGACTTTCACTGCCAGGATCATGGAGGGAGAAGAACTCTGCTTTTTGTTGATGGTTGTTGAGTACTTATTATATGCCTGTCATTGCACCAGACACCAGGGAGCAGTGATGGACAAGACATGAAGATCTCACAGATCTCTGAAATCTCTGTGATCTCTCAGACTGACAGCTTGCAGTCTGATCATCAGAAGCATTTAAGGTACAGAATTACTGTTCATCCCTTAGTCAAAGAGAGCTGGTTTGCCAGGCTCTGGGTGAGGTCTTGGGGTTGACAGAGAAAAAAAGTCACTTGCTCTCACATAGATCCAAGTCAAAACAAACCCTGAGCAACTTTCAATATGAACATGCATTTTAATGTAGACAAATAGATGAAATCATTTTGAGAGTTCTTTCCCATCTTCAAAAACCTATATAGAGGATGACTTCCAAATTCTTTGTTCTTCTCATTTATAGAAGTTTGTTAAAAGTAAAATGTGTTCAAATAAAGTTATAGGACCTTAGGACTTGAATGAATTTTTAAATTGGTAAAGTTCAGAGTACCTGGTTCTTGCCAAGATCATTGAAATAATGGACCACAGAATCAAGCTTAAAATTTAAGCCCTGGACCCCAGGCTTGAGGTTTGTTCATCAAATTATGTTGTCTTCAATAAATTACGACATGCCTGAGTGACACATGTGTGATTTGCATTTTATGGCAAGACCTTCGCCTTTGTTTGTGGCCTAGTTACAGATGCTGTGAAATAGAAAATGATCATCTTTTATAACACAAGTATCAATAGGAAGCCAAATCCTAAACTTCCTGGCAGTCCTTTGATGCTAGATGGAGAGTTTGACTTTGCCTCAGTTATTTTTCCAGTGACACTACAGTGTACTTTAAGCATTTCTCAGTATTTGTCACACACTTGGACTTTTCCCAGTGTTAGAAAGATACGAATTATTGAACATCAGTAAATCACTGCTGTCTTTTGGTTTGGCCTTTTAAAATGAGTAGCCATTCTAAAAGGTGTTGTATTGTAACACTGATTTCATCATTCTCCAGGGAATACTTCAGGATTTTTCATTTAATGTAGTTTTACCTTTTCTTCCAAGAGTGACAATTTAGTGTGCTGCTGGGAGCATGATGAAATAAAATCACAATAACCATGTTGTCATTCCTGGGTTAAGTTGTCAGGGAGGGTCTCAGCAAGACCAGTGGGCCTACCTTTGAAGGGAACCATGCTTTGATTCTTTATCCAGTTACCACACTTCTAGAAAAGAGTGAGAGGGAGCCTGTCAGCATTAGGGACTTTTTAAAAACTGATGATAAACAATAAGACCACAAATTTGAGAAAAGTGATTTCTAATAATGTTCTAATTTTTTTGTAACTGCTCAGGCAGAGAAGAATTAAATATATCAGATGAGGAGTCATAGAATGGAATTGCTGTAGATGCTCTTTTCTTCTTTTCCTCTTGAGCTTTTAAGCATGAAAACATTTCACCTGCTAGGATTAAGCAGACCACTGTGAATGGTGGGATATTGTCAATTTTCTCAGTTTTCTGAGGCATTTAGGAAATTCTGACTTTATCACAACTTATTCTGTTAGAAATAGGCAAACATGAACTTGTCAGAAATGAAATGTGTATTTTTTTTTTTTTTTTTTTTTTTTTGGTGATAAGATCTCACTCTGTCAACCCAGGCTGGAGTGCAATGGTGCGATCTCGGCTCACTGCAGCCTCAACCTCCTGGGCTCAAATTTTCCTCCTACCTCAGCCTCCCAAATAGCTGGGACTAACAGGTTCACCCCACCACACCCAGCTAATGTTTGCATATTTTGTATAGACAGGGTGTTGCCCTGTTGCCCAGGCTGGTCTCTTACTCAAGCAATCACCTGCCTTCGCCTCCCAAAGGGTTGGGATTACAGGTATAAGCCATGGTGCCCAGCCTAAATTACCCACTTTAAATAGTTTAGATCTGAGAGTTTTTATTTTCTTCACAGAAAATAATTTTGAGTAGAGAGTATAGAGATTAAATAAAATAAATGATATATCAGCTAGTAGCTCTAACATGTCTGGAGACAGTACAGAGATCACAGTGAAATAAATGAGATGTGGTTTTTTCTAATGATGACATGCACGTGGTTACAGAAAAAACCTTCACAAGTTTAACAAACACCTTAGTTAGAGTTACCTTTTGCTTTGCCTCTCCCACTTATTAATTCGTTTGTTGTTTTTTTTTTTTTTTTGTCTTTTTTCCCTGAGGTGACCTATTATTTGGGTTAGATGATTTACTGTATATCATTGTATAACTCAAATGGATGATTCAGTAACATTCAAGATTTCAGCCATTAGAGCAAGATGAATGGTAACCAGGAAACTGTTACATGCGTCCTGCATTTTGTTTTAGCTTCTGTCAGTTGGGTACTTTCTACATAATCTCTCTGTGTTTTTATTTTCTCACCACTAAAATGTGGGAATTGAGCTATACAAATTCGGTGGCTTATTTCAGATCTAACTCCACGCTTTTAATTACCATCTTCTTAACAAGCAGTAGTGTTTCTGTTTATTAATTTACAAGTTTTATAACACATGAAACCACTTCAGATATTAAGTAATTTATTTTACATTGATATATCTCCATCCAACCATTTCTCTGTTCTGTTACTTATTTTCAAGATGTTTCCGATCCTATCAATAAATTTAATAGTCTTTTAAAAAGCAGAATAGCCATTATGTTGGTCACTTAACAGTATTTAGTTTGATATCGTATCTCTGTAAATATCTGATATTGGATAATTTCCAAAAATACTTACACCATGATCCACACGTGAGAATAGATCATTAATCCATTAATTAGCTCACACTGGTGAACTAACCAATCTTTATGATATTGTAGTATTGGTTATTCTTAAGAGGACAGAATTATCCTTAATAAATATTTTACTTTTTATGTGAAAAACAATGTATTTTTTTTAACTGAAAGAAAATAGCTTCTCTGGTGTTAACTTACCTAAACTCCTTTGAATGATTTGCCAAGTGACATTTTGAAAATGAACTGACATAAGAAGTAGGTGGGGGATGATGGATATTTTTATTGATGATATGTAAGTAATTTTACTAACCAAGGTGGATTTAAAGGATATTTTAATTGACGATCCTTAAAGTTTGTTTTTCTCAAGATCTTCCAAGAAAATGTAAGCCTCTGACTAACGTAACTCTTAAGTTTTGCTCAGCAATTGCATTGAGAGTGACTTGGACAATTAATTACCCATTTCAACCCCTTATGCCAGGGGTTAGCACCTCAGTGTCTCTGAGGAAGTTTTCTGATTATCTTTTGTGAAGCAGATTTCCTCCACTGTGTGGAAGTTGGCTCTCTTTCAGTCCTTGTAAACTGTCCAAATACATGTCCGTTAAAGACAGACAAGAACAACTCCCCATTTCAGAATAAAGATGAAACCTTTTCTCCATTTCTATATTTGTTTCCATCTTCCTATAAAGAACTTTATTGATCTATGATAATGTAATTCTTAATGGATGTACTGTCACCTCAAAATTAGGAAAGCATTGAAAAGATTCATAATTTTTACTGGAAGTTGATCATCCTTGTGTTCACATAAATAGTGGATTGTTTTTTCCAGATTTGGAGAGATCATGTTTTGAAATAAAATTGAAATTTTGTTCATTTTACCTAGCTGGCAGCACACTGGACCTGACCAATTCATCTTAGTCTGAGCTTAGTATAAATAAACTATCATTTCCACAAGGATAAGGGTGTAAGGGGACTTTATGCTGATATTTTTATATTGACTGTGTTCAGTGACATTTACATTCTGGCTTGGGGAACACTTTTCTTGGAGTCTTTTGGCTGAGCATTTTTTTAAGTTCATCAAATAAATACAAAATGCTGAAACTCCTGTTGCTATTATAGTTTATTCTACGACATTACTATGACTTCTGTGAACAAATATATATTAAATACATACCTAGATGGGGTCTTGTCTTCCTAGAAGAGCATCCAAGGTTGCACTTCTATGTAGGTACTGGAGTTTTTATATTTTCCTTCTGTCATGGTACTCCCGTCTTTTCCATTAGAGCTCAAGAAAGAAAATAGAATAATGATGAAGTGTAATGGAGGGCAGTCACAGAGAAAAAAGAAGTGGAAAACAAAGATTTTTATCTGTAAATCAATGGGGACAGAAAAAAATCACAGCATATTTTAAGAAATTGAAATCACACAAGAGGAACGTATACCACCAAAGGTCTTATCATAGTTATATGCCAACTATCATTGGCATCGTTTCAGTGTAACTTATCACCTGTCTCATAAATAATGAATGGGAACTGAAAATCAGTTGGGTAGGCTTCATGGACATTTTGGTGCAATTAAGTATATGCTTAGGCTCTCGTGGGTGTATACTTAATGCACATGGCCGTGGTCAGAGCATTTGGCTGATCAGCGTCTCGGAGGCATTCTCTCTGTTGTAGGAAAGGCCAGTTCCCAGAACTCCTTCTTGGCATCCACCAAGTCACACTGCAAGACCTTTTTAAAAAAACAGATTTAGGGGGTACAAGTGCATTTTTGTTACATGGATATATTGCATGGTGGTGAAGTCTGGGCTTTTAGTGTGTCCCTCACCCAAATAGTGTACATTGTACCCAGTGGGTAGCTTTTCATTCCTCACCCCCCTCCCACTCTCCCACCCTTTGGAGTCTCCAGTATCTACTATTCCACTCACTACAGGACACTTTATCCACTACTGTTTGTAGACAAAATAAAGTGAATTCATCAACTCTATGACTATTGCCTTTCACCTTACACTACACTGATATGTTTTGCATCAAGAGTAGGACAATACACAGTAATGAAAAAGAATGAAATTGTGTGCTTTGCAGCAACATGGATGCAGCTGGAGGCCATTATCCTAAGTGAATTAATGCAGAAACACAGAATCAAATACCGCATGTTCTCACTTATAAGTGGGAGCTAAACATTGTGTACTCATGGACATAAAGATGAGAACAATAGACACTGAGGATTCCAAAAATTGGGAGGAAAGGAGGGGGCAAGGGCTAAAACATTACCTACTGGGTATATGTTCACTGTTTGGGCAATGAGTTCCATAGAAGCCCAAAACTCAGCATCACGCAATATATCCAGGTAGCAAACCTGCACATGTACCCCTGACTCTAAAATAAAATGAAAATCTCTATAATACTTTAAAAATAAAATAAAAGGGATACTCATTCTTTAAAAAAAAAAAAAGAGTAAGACAAAAGGTCTGAAATGCTCCAAGGTATTGGTTTAAAAATATGAAAGTGGCTAGGCCCACTTGAAGGAATAATTTGATTATATAATAGAAATGACTTTATGTGTTTGATGACTGTTTCTCAGTGTGTAGCGTACAAAAGAGCAGCAGTAGTTTGTGTGATCTGCCTCGTTCGTTCCCCATCGGGTCTATTTCCTTTTGTTCCAAAGCATTTTAAAAGCTGTATTTTCAGTGCAGTTGTCATCTAAGAGTGAGGTAACCAGGGCATATTTAACAAATTGCTTCCTTGATTCTTCACCTGGATGTCTAATACTGTACTCGCCTCAAACTTAAAAAGTCCAAGCCATGTGTGGTGGCTTGCACCTATGGTCCCAGTTACTCAGGAGGCTGAGGCGGGAGGATCACCTGAGCCCGGGAGTTAGAGGTCAGCGTGGCCAACATAGTGAGGCCCTGTCTCTACAAAAAAATTAACAAATTAGCTGGGCCTAGTGACTTGTGCCTGTAGTCGCAGCTACTCGGGAGACTGAAGCGGGATGATCACTTGAGCCCAGGAGTTCAAAGCTGCAGTGAGCTGTGATTGCACCACTGAACTCCAGCATTTGTGACAGAACAAGACCCTATCTCTACAAAAAAAAATGTCAAAACCAAATTCCACATTCTCACAGCCCAAACCTTTCATCTTTCACACCTCCTTTTTCCCAGTTGCTCAGGCTTAAAACTTGGGAGTCACCCTTGTTTCTTCCTCTCCCTCCTGCTGTATTCTTTATTGTAAGAATATAGTATATAACATATATAAAATATGCAAAATCTCTGTTAATCAGCTGTTTGTTACCATTGTGACTTCCAGTGAACAGTAGGCTATTCATAGTTACGTTTTGGGGGAGTCAAAAGTTATATGTGGGTTTTCGATTGATGGAAGGGGCAGGGTTGGCACCCCTAATCCCTGCATTGTTCAAGGTTCAATTGTATATGCCAGGTCTTCCTCCCATTCCAGAATATAAGCTCCTTGATGGCAACCCCTTTTTTGTTGATCCCTCTATTCCTAGCACATAGAACAGCCCCATGCACACAGCAGACACTCAATAAATATGTGCTGAATGACCACACAGTAGACACTCAACAAATATGTGCTAAATGACCTTGCAGATATGCAAGGTGGAAATAATGCAAGGTAGAAAAGTCACTCTGCACATCATCAAACTTCTCAACACTGTACTGTCTTGGGGAGAAAAATGGCTCTGTGAAATACCAAAGGACACGGATTACTTTGTGACTCTTCACTGACACAGGGAGAAAGAAAAGTTCTTCTAGGCTTGCAGGCCATCAAAGACTTCCTGATGTTAATAAGACTGGCACTCAGCTTGGGAGATGGCTAATCTTAAAATTAGGTGCTGGTAAGTAGAAATACTGTCAATCATATGCAAAGACCAGTCAAGCTGTGGGACATGTATTATTTGATCCTAGGGGAAAACTGAGATTTTCATAAGTGTATTTTGGAGGCATTTGCAGCGAAGCGTTGTTTGAAGCTGTTAGAGTGGATGAGTGTCTAAAGATGAAAGTGTAGCTAGCAGGAGGCAGGAACTGGACCTCGGGAAGTAGCTGTGTTTCACAGACAGGGTGAAGGGTCAGTCCATTAAAGGAAACACAGAAGAGAAGACCAGATATGCTGAACACCAGCAAAATAATGAGGTACCAATGGAAGAGAGAATGTTAAAAAGAGAAAATTGTTTCAAATATTGGAGTAAAGTCTTAGCAGAAGACCTTCCAGAAGGCCAATGGACCGGGAACTTAACAGGTCATGGGTAGACTTAGAGAGAGCAACTTAAGTGATGAGGAGTGGAGTGCACTGGATTGAATGAGTTTGAGACAGAGCCTGTGGGAAAGACAGGTGGCTAGTATGGAAAATGTTCATGATGATGGGCAGGAAAAGGACCAATGCATCATAAATGCCTTCAAGGAGCATTACCAGAGTTGAGAGTCTTCACTTCTCAGGGGCAGGATCGAACACGCTGTTTTCGCTCCAGGCACTGAGATTCAGAGGAACCAGGAAGCCCGCTCATGGAATCCCTCCACCTACCCTCCCAGGGAACCTACTGGTTGTAGCCTCATCTTCCTCTCCATCAATGTACCCATGTCCACAGGTCACACTTTGCCACTATTGTCACTTTTAGTGACACAGCTCTACTGTAGACAGCAGGAGAAACAGGCATATTAGGCTGCCACTGACTTTATTGCTTTTTGTGCCATGACAATTTTTCATAACAGTGCAGATTCCGTTGTCTTTAGGCAAAAAATGTCACTCTGCCCAACATCAAACTGTAACTGCTTCACACAGCCCTGTCTCAGGGGGAGAAAAGGAGGGCTCTATAAAATACTGAAAAGCATTTATTCCCTTGCCGCTCTCAATGAACCCATGAATTATGAGTAACAGGGTCAAATGAGAGCACGTTGGAAGCTTAGACTGTAAACAGGTGTCTGCAATCCACAGACTCAACTGATTATGCACCCTAAGAGTTGCCTTAGGGACACTGTTTGTTATTATTCTATTAAAATACATTATTTCATTATTTCTTCTTCATATCAGGTAGCTTTTTTTGTTTGTTTTCCATTTTTGCTTTTCCATACACTAATGATAGTGTGTGAATGTAAAAATGATAGATGAGAACAGTGAATAATTTGTTAATAGGTCTGGAAATAGGCAGGTGTGTGGGGAAGGGGTTATAAGAAAGGAGAATTATCTTCACTGTTTTAAGCTCCCCAGGTTGAGATCATTAGTCTTCTTTGTGTTCGCTTCTCCTTAAGGATGGACAATCCTAGTAAGAATAGCTCAGCAAAATTCCAGTGGGGCCAATGACTGGTTCTGGTTCCATGGAGCCAGGTCACTGCTGCCTTCTTGTTCCCAGCTAGAAAACTCCCAAGAGAAGTTAAGATATCGTCATCATCTCTTTGTTCCTCACATTAAATAGCACAGTGCCAGGCTCCCATTAGCTGCTCAGTTAAGTGTCTGCTGATTTCCCCACTTTATTTAATCAAAGCAGGTTAGCACCAGAAGTTTGTTGGAAATCATCTAGTTCAATGATTCTCAACTTAAACAAGCATGTGAACCTCCTGGGTGATTCAATCACCCAGAACAGTTCTGAGCCTGTTGGTCAGAGTGAAGTCTGAGATTCTGCAATTCTTACAACGTCCAAGTCCAAGGAGATGCCAGCATGCTGGCCCTCAGACCACACTTTGTGTAACAGGGATCTGGTGGAGTGCACCTCCTGCAGGGTCTGCCTATCACTGTGGGTGGGCTGGGGTTCCAGAGCCGTGAGATGATCATAGTTCATTTTCCTACAGCATCAAATATGGTGGAAGATCAAACTATATTTTTTAAAATATTTAAACAAAGATTTATTATGAGGCAGAATACATTTGATTAAAAAATGTGAGAAAAATATAAACTATAAAAAAGTAAGAAATGTAAGAAAAATGTAAGGGATTTTTTTTTTCCAGTTGAGGTTTCCCCTTTCAAGTTACACTTCCAGCTGGCCTCCAGAGGATGCATTTCTTATTTTCTCTTAGGGATAATTTAGAGGAAAAGTTTCAAAAGCACTAATCTAGTCCTAATGAGGAAACGGGGTGCCAGGGAGGCTTAATTAGGTAGTTAGCCTGATTGTAGTACTGATGACAACCACTAACATTTATTGGACTGTTACTATAAGCCAGGCATGGTGCGAAATGCACACACTATTACACTGACTATTCATGAGAGTTTTCTGAAGTTCATACTATTGTTGATCCAATTTTGGATTTGAGGAAATTGAGGCTTAGAGCAGTGGCGTAGTTTACCCCCAAATACACACCTCTCTGACATTAAAGTCCCTGCCATCAGCTACAGTGATTTAGGGCTTCCTGAAGTAGGTACAGCCAGGGCTAGGACCACTGTCTCTCTCCTGTCCAGGACTTGGTCTACAAGATGGCACTGTTTTCCATAAAGTAGCTGAGATAAAGCAGGTTGATGCAATTGGGCAGCCCCTGGTGTTTCCAAAGAGTGTCTTTAAAAATTACAGAAGTGTGCCTCATAGGAATCTGGACAGTGATTCCTTTATTGTTTCTTTCATGATAACAATAAGCAGATTAGCTGTGTTTTCTGTTTAGTAACTAAGCCATGGTTCTAGGCTCATAGAAAATCAATACTTTCTCACAAATATGTACTTTTCCTGCCAAGCAGCCATCAGAATTAAAGGAAAATGATATCTATAATCAGCTGTTACAAATTGCATTACTAGGTGAATAGTTAATGTGTTTCATTCCTTACATAAAAAGAATTTTAAAAGGATAGCATCAGGAGAGTTATGAAGAATGAATTCTCTACTTCTGTGCATTTTGACCCAACTTTCAAGAAGCTTTCCAGAAGCTTCTAGAACTTTCTAGAAGCTTTTGTAGCATTTCCCCACACATATGATACCATTACTTTCATGTTTGTGATGCCAGATATGCACTGAGCTCATCCTGGGACAAGGACAGACATGCCTACTGCCTACGGACATACCCAGTGACCAAGAGCAGCTTCAGGATTAGCGACAGTCCCAGTGGCAGGCCAATTTCTCTTATGCATTATAGCTCTGTTCTATAAAAACAAACTTAGTTCTCTTCTATTCACTATAATGAATCCCTGACATTTCCAAAAATGAGAAATTCTGGATTGTTTCTACTAAGTGAAACTTTGTACAAGTTCAAGTTTGGATGAAGCCAAGCAGCTTTGAAATGATGTAAGCTGACATGACTGATATCATTGGTAGATCCCAGGGTATGCAAAAACCTTGAATTTTATCTCTCTCTCTCCTTCAAGCTAATAACAAACAATTAAGCATGTGCCATAGAAAAAAATATTATCTGAACCACACAGGATTATCACTTTGTATGTTATTTCATGTCGATGGTTGAGAATATGCTAAAGTTTAACATAGTTCATTAACCAAGAAATACAGCAGGAGCTGAAAACATCAGAGTAAGGCTGTTCAAAACACCACTACCCCTGTGAGTGCTTTGCGAATGATCCCATCAAAAGGCTTCTCAGTGCCCTCTGTTGTCCAACAGCAGCAGTAAAACAGTATATCACATTTGGGAGGAAAAGAAGCAGGGGGTCATAGGACCCACTTTACATGTAAATAGCAGGTGTAGTTATTTAGTTTTGTTTTTGTTTTCGAGACAGGGTCTTACTCTGTTGCCCAGGCTGGAGTGCAGTAGCATGATCAAGGCTCAGTGCAGCCTCAACCTCCCTGGGCTTAGGTGATCCTCCCACCTCAGCCTCCCGTGTAGCTGGGACTACAGGTGTGCACCACCACGCCCAGCTAATTTTTGTGTTTTTTGTAGAGATGGGGTTTCACCATGTTACCCAGGCTGGTCTCAAACTCCTGGGCTCAAGTGATCTGCTTGCTTCAGCCTCCCAAAGTGCTGGGATTATAGGCATGAGCCACCTCTCCTAGCTGGATGTAGTTATTTCTAAATCTTAATTTGAGATTTGACTTTGAGGTGCAAGGAAGCTGCCTCACAGAAAAATCTCTCTTCTAGTAAAGCCTAAAATCCACTATATGCAATCTGTGGTCCATGCTAAACTTTGCCATATTCTTTCATTGTTTTAAAATACAAATATCCCTGTAATGGGTAACACAGTGCATTCCTTACATCACAATATAAAATACTCTCAAACCCTTTTTTGGGGGTAACATGGTGAAGGCTCTATTTTCTTAATGAACAAGGAGGTTAGGAAACATTCGCGTGTCTTATCTCCTTTCTAGTTTGGAGTAGGGCAAGACTCCATTGTGCCAGGCTATTTTGATAGTCTGTTATTACAACACAAAAGCCTAACTCCAGGCAATACATTCGGAGACCACTTTCCTTAGAGCACATTCTACAGGTAAATTTAAGTACGTGTCTTCATAGTATTTACTTCCTTGGCTATTGTGGGGAAAAGGAAAAGAATAATTACTTTAAAAATGCAGGGCAAGTAGCTCCACTATCACACTCTTTTCAAAACCATGAATTGGCTTACAAAATTGTTTTTTAAATATGTGTATTTCCCAGGAAAGTATATTATATCAGTATGTTAGGCAAGAGTCCTAGGGAATATTTTCCCTTTTATGAGACAGAGCTGATACGTGGAGCCTTGAATTTCATGAGGTGCCTTCAGCCATCCTCACTGATGTTCGAAGATCTGATCATGTCAAGTTTAATCATAGATGACGTTCTTGAAGATCACCTTTTCCCCTTCATGTGAATTTTATAGTCAGCTACTAAAATCAAGTGTGGAAGGCAGGGGGTAGGTGATCAGGGTGATCAAGTCAAATGATGCAGGCAAGCTAAGAGTATATACCACATTGCCAAGCAGAGCGGGGTTCCACCAAGTGAAGCAGAATAGTGGGTCACCCACCCACCCTCTCAGAACCACCTATTGGAGATCCCGGTAACTGCAGTAAGTCGTGATAGCACGTTTGTCTGAATTTAACTCTGCGGAGGTAGCCCTGGGTATGAGAGCAGACAGACTGGTTTCCTGCCTTTCTAAGACTTGCAAGAATTGCCAAACAAATCAATTTACCACTTAAACTCTGACTCTTGGAGGATTTATAGCCTCCAGCAGCAGAAGGCATTGTGGCAACAGGAGAGAGGCAGCATGTCCCTTCTCAGGGAGCTTTTATCTCTCCTTAGTGATGACAGGTTTATGATTTTACTGTGAAAATCCATGGAATGTGGCTTTACAAAATCGACAGTCTTTTGAGATATTTCCAAGAGCAAAAGCACTGGAAGGTGGGAGCATATTATGAATAGAAGCTGAATAAAACGCAGGAGTGAAGAATGAGATACCATGATCATGAGGAGAAATTGACTTCTTTCCTTCAGTTCATCCCATTGTATCCTCAAAGGTCATTCATTGTGTTTTTTTTTTATTATTATTCATAGTGGACTGCAATGTGGAAGTTGCTCTTTCTGTGGTAGAGAACTGTGGCAGGGTTTTGTTTGACATTTTCTCTTGGGAAATTTTTTAAGTTAGGGCATTTGAGCTACATTGTTTCCGCTCTGTGTAGGCGGAGGTCCTGCCTACCACTTATTACTGTTGCCAGTGACGTCTTCACTTGGATCAGAACTGCCATTTGTTTTTAAGAGAGTTTGTTTTTGCAGTTGGGTTTCAAAAGGAAAGGAGCCGATGATGACTTTGAACTCCATAGAATCTTTCCTGTGCAGTCACATCCCTCCATGGGGCACGTGCAAGTTCATCCCCAAATCCTGCAACTCGGTTCGAGCTAAATGCAGCGCCTTCTTCCTAATCGATGCCGAGGAGGCAGCAGAAGATAGAATTATGATTCTTCAAAATCTTCCCTCGCCTCTCGCATTGACTGTTTTCTGTGTCATTTTGCACTCATATATTTTCCCCTTAATCTGTCTCTGTCCGGCTGTGTCTTGTGCCAGCTCTTTTCTTCTCTTTAAAATGTTCGCTTTTATCACTTCCTGGTATTACTATTTCTACTATTTAGTCTCTGCTAATTCTTCTCAAAGATCATTAACTCATTTCCATCTCCTGTTCTTCCACATTCTGAAACTATCCTCTGCCCGTTTCCTTAACTCTTACATAATTTCCCTTCTGGACCTAAAACAAGTCATAATGACAAGAGTAATAGTTACCCTGTGTTGAAGATTGCTATGTTTCATGACACACTGGGATACCTATTTCACACTTGGCATCTCATTTAATCCCTGCAAATGGGAGGATGGTGTCATGCCCTTTTCATGGATGAAACTCAGTGAGGTTCATTCAGACCGTGAATCACTGGCAGACCTGCTAGTCCAGCGCAGATGACATGACCTCTGGTGTTACCTAAGAGGGATATGTTTTGCTTAATCATGAACTATAACTCATAGGCCTGGAGCTAAGTTCGCCATTTCACTCGGGACCCTTCACTTACCCATATCCACTGAACAGATAAATACCTTTGACTGCAGGTCTATCAGCAAGTACCTATTGAGAATTTATCTGAAGAAGCTTATAACTTAGGTATTATACATAGACAAGTGGAGGATTAAGAGAAGAGGGGAAGAGGGGACAATAGAAGTAGCTAGGAGAGAAAACAAAGTGAGAAGAACTGCCTCCTTCATGCTTTTTTAAAGCCTCTGCTCCAGCTGACCTTTCCTGAAGTCTAGGGCCTTGATAGGAGGCAGGTGGGGTGAATGTGTGTGTGTGTGTGTGTGTGTGTATACACATCTATATATACTCACACATAGGTATATTCTCCTTAGTTACATTTTTTGAGTAATAAAAATATATTGCCATATATATCAGAATATTATTGTAAGAGCTAAATGAACCAGTGTACTTTAAAATGTTTTACGAAGTATAAAACACTCTGCAAAGATTATTATTGGCCTCATTATTTTTATTATTATTAACTGTACTAACATAAAAG
Source organism: Homo sapiens (assembly GCF_000001405.40). Classification (NCBI taxonomy): domain Eukaryota; kingdom Metazoa; phylum Chordata; class Mammalia; order Primates; family Hominidae; genus Homo; species Homo sapiens. The sequence goes on from NC_000001.11 coordinate 239,805,866, forward strand.
CACTTGATTTCCCTTCTTGGTTAGTTCTAAAGAGGTTTGCTTTCACGGTTTCTTCCTGGCATCTTGATAGTTGCAATTTCATTACCACGTTAAAAACGAAACAAAACAAAACAGGAATCTCTCTTGGAGCTTGATTCTGCATTTTGAAAGCTTTTGATTCCCTAGTCTGTGGGGGAACCCAGCCGGCTCAGACACCTTTGGCATAGGTCCACTTCAAACCCTGACTCCACTCCTGGCTGAAAATCCCTGAGAGAAGTTCTGAGATGTCGTAATTAGCCCTCAGCTGCCAGCCTCTAATTCAGTGGCACCTTTTTCCCAGCTTTGAACAACAACTGAAAAACCTCAGAATGTCTGATCTTCCAGTCTCCCGACTGTCTGCTTAAAATTGCTTTGGCCTCATTTGCTTGTGAAGCCACTTGCACTTCCAGGTGTTAAGCAGACCTGCAGTATCCAATGGGATGGAGTTACACAACACACACACACACACACCTGTGGACATCCAGGATGGAGTTACACAACACACACACACCTGTGGACATCCAGGATGGAGTTACACACACACACACACACACACACACCCCTGTGGACATCCAGAGATTGTAATTGTTGAATCTATTGGGAGCAGATGGGTGTGCTTAGGAAAAAATAGGATTGACTGCAGGAATTAAATGGAGAGCAGTAAGTGAATTAGTAGGCCAGATGCATTAGGCCTGCATAGTTGCAAGTCACGTGGCTGGGAGTGTGGGGATGAGCCATACAGGCAGGGCTTCCTCTTGGAGACGAAAGTTACTGTGTTCGCTTTGAGAAACGCACATATTGTAGATATTGTAGAAAACATACACATACCTGCATGCTATCTCTGCTTTCTAAAAAAGAGGTACATTTTAACTTTTTAATTTCTTTTAGTTGTTCAGAATAGGCAATGCTGGCCAATAAGGAGAAATGCTGGAAGAAGAGATAGAGTATCTGGCAATACTAGGTGTACTTCCATTACCTTTCAAGGCGTAAAATTAATAAACTGTTCACAGAAGAATTCCAAAGAAGCGTACATTCTGTTTTGAGAGTAGTACCTGCCGTCATTCCATAGGCTGCACCCAAGCCAGAGAATATTCTACTTGTTCCTGGCTCCACATGAGTTTTGATGGTGATAATAATGAAAATTTCCATTAATATAATTTCTTTATTTGGGGTTGGTATTAGATGATTGCATCCAAAAGCAAAATGTGATGATTTGACAAATATTTTCTTCTGCAGGTTTTGATTGTGAACACAATAAGAACATAAAAGAAATAAAAGTCCTATTTAGGTGGAAGATTATGTGACTTTTTAAACTTTAAAATGCAGTTTCTTTTTACTTCATTAGAGAAAGAAAAGTAGCTCCAACTCCTTAATACATCATTCTAAATAATTCTTCTTCTGGCCTTTTTATTATTGGATTTTCATTTATAGTACTATGGCAAGAATAATGTTTACAGATTGGCACAACCTGAAAAAGTCACCTTGTTTAAAATTGACCTACCATTTAAATATCATCATTTTGGCAATGAACACCTTCTAAACTTATCCTTCTCAATTGTGGGCATTAAGCCCATAAATAGGAATGCTACAGGGGGAATGAAAGGAGGGGTTACTTCCACCAGAAGAGAAGCCTTGGAGAAGTGAATGGAAAATGTTGCCTCTGTTTAGCATGAATGAGCCTGGGATTTAAATAACATTCTCAGGCCAGATAAATAGTTTTTCTTTGGCTTAGTAATCATGCATTGCATTCAGATATTTAAGTGAAATGTTTCTGGCTTTCCTCACTTCATCTTTGATCTTTACATGCTCTGTTAAATTTTAGCTCATCAACTTAATCACATTAAAAATCTCATTTATACCTTTTAGTATATAGAAGAGAAGCAGATTTGCTGTAAGAAACTGAGAGTACATGTAATTGAGTGTTTTTGCTTTGCGCACACACACACACACACACACACACACATACACACACACACGCACACATATCCCAAAATGCTGGGATATTCCAGAGTGATAAAAGAATTTGCTGCTTGGTGGCTGCATCATAAGTCATTATGATTATCTCATTATTCTTTTCTTCCCTCTGTTTCAAGCTGTTCTGCAATGAATATTCATTAGTTATATAAAACATGAAGTTTTTTAAAGAAACATATTCCAAAATTCCTTGGAATTCTTTATCGGTAATCGTCTGCCTTTTTATTTTTTGAAAAACTGGTTGTTTTGACCCCATATCTGACTAGCCCCAAAGTCCCAGTGTTTTGATGGGAGTTCAAATTCCATGGGAGTTCGAGGAAGACAGCCCTAGAGAAAGCTCTCCAGCTCCCTGTGACAAGTCGTAGCTGAAGTCAGATGTGCAGAAAGGAATTGCAATACTTTTTTTTGTTTATCCTCGTATGTGACCTTCAGGCAGAGTAAATCAGTACAGCTCTGATACCACTCAATAAAATGCTAGGTCATTTTATGGACAGGATTAATCTGCAACAGAGAAGGTGGAGATTCATGTTGGACATACGAACAAAGGGAGACAGAGTTTGCCCTAGAATGACACTGTGGGTAAGGGGACAGCTTCATCCTGCCTTAATTACCTGCTGTGTGAACTGTTTTCACTCCTGTGCGAGTGATCTTTCCCAGCTGTAGTACGAGATCAAATCTAACGGAATAAAGATGAGAGTCTCTTATTTGCCACCTAAAATGCCTAGCGATAGTTTTTGCCATATCGATTGGACCAATTCTTCGTGATAAGCCCTACCGCTTCCTATAACTAGAAGTGGATCATGAAGGAAATGCGAGTGAACCACTGATTTTATTCATAATCTCAGGCTTTTCCTGTACTTTCTGTGATAGCCCTCCAAAGAACTGCCCCAATACTTGCATTTCCTAGAAATACACTGTTTGTGAGAATTAAATCAGCACTCTCTTAGAAAACCCATCAGAAACGACTGCTTGTATTGGTGCAGTGGACAAGCAGTTATTGAAAAGGCCTATTTAGAATACTGCTTTTTCCTACTTGTAAAGTCTTGTCAAGTTCCCACTTAAGCACTGCATGTTACTTTTTACAAAAGGAAGAAATGAAGAAGTTGGTGAGTTGATATTTCCCTCACCCTGTCAAAGTCTGGGTCTTTGACTCTGAAGTCCATTTTTTTTTTTTTTTTTTGAGACAGAGTCTTGCTCTGTCACCCAGGCTGGAGTGCATTGGCGCAATCTCGGCTCACTGCAAGCTCCGCCTCCCGGGTTCACACCATTCTCCTGCCTCAGCCTCCCGAGTAGCTGGGACTACAGGCACCCGCCACCACACCCGGCTAGTTTTTTTGTATTTTTAGTAGAGAAGGGGTTTCACCATGTTAGCCAGGATGGTCTCGATCTCCTGACCACGTGATCCGCCCGCCTCGGCCTCCCAAAGTGCTGGGATTACAGGCGTGAGCCACCGCACCCGGCCTCTGAAGTCTATTTTTAATCCAAAGGCCTTAGAAGGTCAACTTCTGAACCCATAAGATTCCAGCAGTGAACCCAATGTCTGTTCGCCCACTTCCTCATTTTTTTCTTTCCATCTTCCCTCACTGTGTCCCCTTCCTAGGAATGAGTCCGAGGTCCACTTACTGTTTTTTTATTGTTTTTTGTTTGTTTGTTTTCTTGAGATGGGGTCTAGCTCTGTGGCCCAGGCTGGAGTGCAGTGACATGATCACAGCTCACTACAGCCTCAACTTCCCAGGCTCAAGTGATCCTCCCACTTCAGCCACCCAAGTAGCTGGGACTACAGGTGCACGTCACACCACCTGACTAATTTTTAATTTTTTTTGTACAGACAGGGTCTCCCTATGTTGCCCAGGCTGGTCTCGAAAGCCTGGACTCAAGCTATCCTCTTGCCTCGGCCTCCCAAAGTGCCAGGATTACAGGCGTGAGCCACCATGCCTGGCCTACTGTAGTTGTTTTCCAATTTGCTTCACCAAAGTCTCCTTTTGTCCTTTCCACTGAGATGTTTGGGCCTTATGAAAAGATAAGAAAGCCACACTCTTCTGCACCTGGGCTGGTAGAGGGATTCAGTAAAGATGAAGGTAGCAGGTAGTGTCTGCTCGACTAAGGAGGAGGTGTTATAGCTATTGCAGATCTTTATCTTGAGACGGGTAAGATTCTGCATCTGCCTTAAGATTCATTGCACTCAAAGGAGGCCGCGTATGGAATGCAGCCACCATTATTGTAGTGTTGATCTGCGTGTGCCAAGCCACAAGCTTGGGGGACAGAAGCTGATCTGTGTGTTGCAGCTGCCAGCATATAATGACTCTTCTTCCACGCATCCTTTTGCATTCCCTAGGGCCGTGATGAAATGCCAGCTGTGAGGTAATCCTCACCAAAAAGGGATCCTTGCTGCTTCGGATTCCCCAGGAGATTCAAGGAATGCGGGGGGACTTGAGGGCATGCTTTGTCTTCCCATTGAAGCTCCGTTGCAGAAAGAGCCACAGACATAAGGGGGCTGAAGTCACAGCCTGTAGTTTCCCCAGGGCGGAGGGGACCACGCTGCTTGTCTTCTCAGGGATGAGGATAGCCAGGCCAGCAAGGGGAGTGTTACTTCCTGCTGTGAGATCAAAGAAAATGCTTCTCAAGATCATTGAGGGGAACAAGCCTGGAGGACTGAGAAGGGGGAGGATTTCCAAATGATGTGTTTAGGATTCAAGAATTTCAACCCATGTCACTTATCCCAAATGTTATTTGCCTGAGATTTACTGGAAGTTGCATTTTCCAGTAGCCACCATTGAGGGCCGAGTGACAAATGTTAAATTCAGAGTAATTATAATTATTATCGGCATGTCCTTGGCCAAGGCCAAAGGCACCTTGATCACTTGTTAGTGAGAGCTAACCCATGAGGTTGAACTATTTAGTTGTGATTAAACACTGCTACCTGTTTATCAACCCTTTGAGGCCAAGAGCAGTAGTTGTCCTCATTTGACCATTCACATCCTGTGTTGTGCCCTGGTAACATTTCTGAAAATCGCCATCTGTAAGAATAAATTTCATTACCAAGTACCTATCCCTGTTTGTACAGGTTCTAACTGAGCTACGGCTTCCAAAGAAATCCTTGGAATCGCCATAAGTTTTGTCTCTAAAAGCACAGAACCACCTTCATATCTTGCCTATTCATAGTCAAATTAAACATATATGTGTGAATTAAAAGTGTCCTTCCTTTTAAAGTGTTTTTGAATTCGAACAGTTTATGAATTTGAACTGTTTTGTTTTATTGATAGAAGCCGTCCTGACTCAAAATCCCAATAGCATTTCAAGGTATCCCAGAGGATGTGCTGTGACTGGAGAGCAGACCCACACAATGAGGTTCATGCGTTTTGTGTTTCCTAGGTAGTCTGCCATTAGATTTATTTTAGCTCTTATGATGTGGCAGCACAATTGGCGCCAGAAAGCGTGCTGACATGCTAACCGCAAGACCCATTGTCTCCCATGCAGGCCATCCAAGACCGCTGTGAAAATTAGCTTCCTTGCCAGACACTTTGATCTTGTCACTCCTGCACCGAAGGCTCCTTGCTGTGCCCTAAAGCCCTTCACATCAGCCTCAGCTGTTGCAGCCCAGCCCTTCCCTCACCACAGATTCTCCCCTGATCTGCTGTCAGCCTCCTCTGCTCCAGCCTAACAAAGCTATTCACAGACTCCTTTGACAGCATCTGACACTTTTGATACTTTGCTTTTCCTAGTACAATTCACCAGAATAGAATGAGGTAAAGCATTCTTATAAAGCAAAGTCTCTCTCTCTTGCATGTGCTGGTTTCATTGGCTGCCTAACCTTTAGAAATTAGAAAAAGATACACCGGAATGGGACCTGCATATTGACTCATGCTTTGCATATTTTATGTGGCTATCAGGCCACCTAATGTTAAAAGTTTCTCTAGGGGAAATTTCTAGGAGGAGAAGGAGCTGTTTCAATATTACTTTAAGCAGCACAGTTTGAGGATGTTTTAAAGCCTTTAAAAAAAAATAGACAATTTGTAGCAGCAGAAGATACCTGATTATGAGGACGCAACCAAACTAATGGATAGATTTTGCAAGTAAGCAACATGGAAAAAGGCAGAAGGCATAAGTCAGTGTTTAATTCATATCGATTTATGAGTTTATTCATTTGTTTAATAAAAAAGTCTATCAAGAGGCTGATATGTGCTAGGTTTTTTGGTTTGTGAGACAGAATCTCCCTTTGTCACCCAGGCTGGAGTGCAGTTGCACTATCTCAGCTCATTACACCCTCCTCCTCCCGGGCTCAAGTGATTCTCCCACCTCAGCCTCCCGAGTAGCTGGGACCACAGGTGTGTGCCACCATGCCCAGCTAATTTTTGTATTTTTTGTAGAGATGGGGTTTTGCCATGTTGCCCAGGCTTGTCTCATACTCCCCAGCTCAAGTGATCCTCTGGCCTTGGCCTCCCAAAGTAATGGGATTACAGGCATGAATCACTGTGGCTGGCCAATTTGATCATTTTTATATGGGATTTAGTGTGTGCTGAGTAAGGTACCTAACATCATTTGAGCAGTGGTGGCATTAGGTAAATGCCTTTAGGTAAGAAAGAGAACCCTATCCACTGAGTAGAACAACTCAAGGTGTTACGTAAAATGAGAGATAAACAAAGGAGATTAGAGGGTTTTTGCATAATTAAATACAAAGTTGGATGGTTTAATTTTCAAAGATTTTATTTAAAGTGATTTTGTATAAAGGTCTGTGTAAGGCTGACTTACACTAATTGTGTTTTTCTACAGTGGCAAAACAAAAATTTATTTTCAAACATATGCTTCTAATGAGCAAACTATCCATTTATCATGCAAAATTAAACAGTGATCTAGCCACCATGGGCTGGGTGCCTACCTGTGCCAGCCCTGTGCCAAGCACATTACTCAATTTCCAATCCAATGACCTGAAAGTACAAAGTATTTTAATCTACTGATGAGGCACAAGGCTCAGAGGGGTTAAATGTCCAAGGTCACATAGGTGGGAAATAGCAAAGTTGGAGTCTGCCCTCCAATGCCTCTCCCTCCAAAATGTGCACCCTTTTCATCACTGCACCATTTCCTGAACGGTCTCTTGCAGAAAGCTGGTTCCATGAAACTTCCTTTAAAAAATACATTTTGTGGCCAGCCACAGTGGCTCATGCCTGTAATCCCAGCACTTTGGGAGGCCAAGGCAGGCAGATCACAAGATCAGGAGTTTGAGACCAGCCTGGCCAATACGGTGAAACCTCATCTCTACTAAAAATACAAAAATTACCCTGACGTGGTGGCGGGTGCCTGTAATCCCAGCTACTTGGGAGGCTGAGGCAGGAGAATCGCTTGAACCCGGGAGGCAGAGGTTGCAGTGAGCCGACATTGTGCCACCGCACTCCAGCCTGGGCAACAGAGTGAGACTCCGTCTCAAAAAAATAAATAAATAAATTTAGTAAAAGGTACTTACTGTATTCTCTCTTCAGAGATTCGTAGATGCAAGTCAGTATATTAATGGTTCTAAGAAATAAAACTTAAAGAGAGAAAAAAATAATTTGGACTAACTGGCTAAGTCCATAAGTCATTAGACTAATGACAAAGTGGCATTTCTAACACTTCTGTGACCAAAAACACTTGTTTCTTTATACTATTAATTTTTGCAAACATTCATCTTTCTCAGCTGCCTCAGCAAATATATATCTTCTACTCCCCTAGTCTTCTCCAAAATAGAGAGAAGACTTCAGGAAGTCCCAAGAAAGTGAAGTAACAGAAACCATCAAACTCACAGTTGGCCGGGCGCGGTGGCTCACGCCTGTAATCCCAGCACTTTGGGAGGCCGAGGCGGGCGGATCACGAGGTCAGGAGATCGAGACCATCCTGGCTAACACGGTGAAACCCCGTCTCTACTAAAAATACAAAAAATTAGCCGGGCGTAGTGGCGGGCGCCTGTAGTCCCAGCTACTCGGGAGGCTGAGGCAGGAGAATGGCGTGAACCCGGGAGGCGGAGCTTGCAGTGAGCCGAGATCCCGCCACTGCACTCCAGCCTGGGCGACAGAGCGAGACTCCGTCTCAAAAAAAAAAAAAAAAAACTCACAGTTGTAGACTGCCTTCCTATTGATGAAGCCCTTTCCTTTTATTTGCACCCAGATGTCACAATAATCCTGTGAAAGTCATTACTCGCTTTAAGGAAAAATAAATAAATAAATAAATACATAAACTAATGCAGAAACAGTCTCAGAAGGCCAATTTAGGAATTTTTGGCTATTTAAGTCTAAATTTAAACAAGGGATAATAATCATTTTAGGTGTCCCTGGACGAGAAGTCAAATTGTTAATTTTAAAGTGAGAACTTTAGTGTGGGTTCTCCCTCTCTTTGTTTCTCTCTCTCAGTATTTTAAATTCATGCGCATTACCTAGGTTTTGCTCGTGGGAGATGTTTGATTTTTAAGAAGGGCACTGTGGAGTGTGTTTGGTGCATTTCTCAGCAAATCCAGCCTCCTCTCCTTACAGTGTTGGCAGCTTTTACTCTTAGTCACACGTAAGAGAAATGGTCATGAGTCACATCAAAGCTGCCTGGGGCTGGAGATGAATGTAACATGCATTTCAGAGATGTCCAGAGCTCCCTCTGCCTCCCAGCCCTCACCACGGGAGGAAATGCACCTGTTTTCTTTCCTCTGTGGTAACTGTCATGCGTACCTGCCTGCACCTTTATCATTCAAGATGCCAATGAGATTGCCTTTAATGCTGATTAAGTCTTCCCTGAGTTGAGACAAGTGATTAGTGACTATGCACTAGTGAGAAAGATGGTCCACACACAGAAGTCCTATAAATGATAGCTTGTGTTTCAGCCCAGCAAGTGGCTGCTGAGGGTGACTCACGGTCAGGTCAGTGATTTTTCCTGTTACTCTGCCGTTTGCTTTTCTTTTCTATTTTTTTATTTATTTGTTTTCTTTTTTGAGACACAGTCTTTCTCTGTCGCCCAGACTAGAGGGCAGTGATGCAGTCTCGGCTCACGGCAACCTCTTGCCTCCCTTCAAGCGATTCTCCTGCCCAGACACGTAGCTGGGATTACAGGCACACGCCACCATGCCTGGCTAATTTTTATATTTTTAGTAGAGATGGGGTTTCATCGTGTTTGCCAGGCTGGTCTGGAACTCCTGACTGCAAGAGATTCACCTGCCTCGGCCTCCCAAAGTTCTGGGATTACAGGCATGAGCCACCATGCCCGGCCCGCTGTTTGCTTTTCCTTTTCTTTTCTCTGGCAAAGTACCCATTGATCTTTTTTGATGCAGTTTAGCACTGTGTCATGTTATTGGATAGTAGAGAAAAAGTAAATTTTAAGACTGAAGCCAGTTGAGAGGGATTTATCAGTAAAATTGAAAGTAGCTGTGCTGATTTATCTATGCCTTCCTCTGTACTGTCAGGACATATCAAAATGTACCCATTCTCATGACTCACCGACCGGAGGAAATGTGTGACTTTAATCCGGGCATTTAAACTCTCATCCTTTTGTCTTGTGGAGTTTTTCTCTTGCATTTTTAATCAAGTTTTGTTATTTGTAAAATTAAAAGGCTTGTCCAAAACTTTTAAAGTCCCCTCCTGCCTTTTTCTCTGATTTCATAAGCAATATATAAACCCCTATTTTCATGTGAATGACATTATGCTTGTTTTGGGAGTTACAGTAATTTAAACCAAGCATATAGTACAGTGGTTCTGAAAGCTTACATCTTGCAAAAAAGTAATTTGAAAATTTGAAAACAATAAGCTTATAGACTAAAGCATAAAGAAAATGCCAGCACATTTACCACAGGGTAGGTCTAATTCAGCCTACTGGTAACCAACTCAAATGCAAAACAAAATGATAGCTGAACAATGAGCAGAGGTAAATTGACTTTGGGAGGAGGCTGAAGGCGTTCTCATATTGGGACCTGTATTTGATCTTGGAGCACATGGTGCCTCGGTCTGAGGCTACATCTTAGGTCCAGGTTTTATGCATCTTTAAACTGCACTCTTAATTAACTCTTCTCCAGATGAATGATGCGCAGTGACAGCACTTCAGCAAAATCAATATGGTGCTTCTGTCTCAATAACAAATTAGATAGTATTTCTGGGTCAGTGTAGTTCATCAGATATCAATACATTTCAGTCTGGTTTGTCTTTTTTTTTTCTTTTGCTAAAACTTTCTCATTCTGGGGGGGAAAAAAGAACAGACTTCCATGCCAGCTTATTGCCCTCACACCCTCCTCCCAATTGTCACATATCCAGAGGATTCACCCACCCACCAGTTTGCTGCCATCTAGGTGGCCTAGTAGCTGGCAGAGCTTCTGAGCTGCAGAGAAGCATCCAGAATGCAGAGAAGGCGGTGCTTTGCGATTGATGGCTGCTGCTGCCCCTCCCATGAGGCTGATTCAGGCCAAGGGAATGTGTTTGCCTTTCTTCAAAGACGTGGTCTTTCCTAATACAGTCTTGCTTCACTACTCCACCGGTGTTGCTCCTTTTTTTGTTCCTTTTTTTAAATCTACGTAATCCTGTTTTGCTGAGAAGCTTTATTAATAACTTCTGAGCATTCCCTCACTAATCCCCACAGAGCATCTATATGTAAGATCTATATTGCATGACACTGTTTAAAGCAAGGCAAACTGAGGCACAGGCAGAAGAGGGAGGGAATCAATCCCAGACCTCCAGATAACAAGCTCAGAATGTTGCTCCCCAGGCCTGCTTGCCCTTCTCCTGGTCCAGGAAGTACCAAGCAAGGTGGATTTCTTCAGGAAGCCACTGGGCAGCATAATCTAGTAGACTGCCTGGGCTCAAAGCCTGACTAAGCCCTATTCTGCCTGTGTGACTGAAGAAACTGCAGAAATAATATCCAGCCTGTCTGTGCCTCAGTCTTTTTTTTTTTTTTTTTGAGAGGGAGTCTCACTCTGTTGCCAGGCTGGTGTGCAGTGGCACGATCTCAGCTCACTGCAACCTCCACCTCCCGGGTTCAAGCAATTCTCCTGCCTCAGCCTCCTGAGTAGCTGGGATTACATGTGCCCACCATTATGCCCAGCTAATTTTTTTATATTTTTAGTAGAGACAGGGTTTCACCATGTTGACCAGGCTGGTATCCAACTCCTGACTCCCCCACCTCGGCCTCCCAAAGTGCTGGGATTACAGGCGTGAGCCACCACGCCCAGCTGCCTCAGTCTTTATCAATAAACTAGGGATGATATTAGCACATGTGAGGCACTGTGAGCTGATGTATGCCAAAAGCTTTGCATAATATATGGACACAGACAGTGCCTCCTAAGGGTTTACTATGCCTGTCTTCTCTCCACGGAGACAGGAATATCCACCTCTTATACCATTGCCCTGTGGGGAAAGCAAGACCAGACCCTGAAGGCTCTGAGGCTGTCCTGGAGCTCTGGAGACTAAAAGAGTAATTTTGAAGTTCACTGTGAAACCATGAAGATCTGTTTAAATCCAGGCTAGCTCTTCCTTCCATCTATGTAACCTTGACTCATTTGCAAAACTATCTTTCTCTTCTTACTTTTCCTTTCTCAACTGGTATTTCATGGTCAGTTTGATGTGAGTCATATTCCCTAATTGTGTCACCCCCAGAACTGCCCAAATCTTTAAGACAGAATCCAGTACCACTGAGATCACCATGGGCCAGAGCTCTGGGACCTCCTGCAATATCTCAAAGGCATGAGGAAGCTTCCCACGGGCTACTGGAGGCACTGTCTTTGGCTTCCTCTGCCTTTAGCCTCCACCCCCACCCACCTGTTCTCATCTAGTTTGTCCACCCAAAATGCACAAGGACACACATGCAAGACCCCCATCTCCTCCCTCGAAAACTCACAGTGCTCCCTCTACACACACACACACTCGCACAGATCTCTAAGCTCAGACTTTTAGAAAGAAATCTTCCTTGGCACACTCAGGGAACTGTGATTCCGTCCCATTAAGCAGCTACAATGTTACTGTCCACCACCCTCTCACCCTCTCAGCCCACCCCTTGTTCACATGTCAGGTGCCACTTACTAGCCACGCGACTTTAGAGAAATGACTTTCCTTTCCTGAGCCTGTTTCTACATCTATGAAATGGCGATAATAAAGCCTGCCTTACCCACAGGCTTTGAGAATTAGACGAGCTAATAGTATGCCTGGTATTTGGCACATTTTCTTAATCTGTTTGGGTTGTCACAACAAAACACCACAGCCTGGGCGGCTTAAACGAAGGACATTTCTATCTCACAGTTCTGGAAGCTGGAAATCCAACATCAAGGTGCAGGCAGAGTTGATATCTGGTGAGGGCTCTCTTCCTGGATTGTAGATGGCCGCCTTATCACTGGGTCTTCACATGAGTTTTCCTCTCTGTACCCACAAAAAGAGAACTCTGATTTACCTTCCTTCTTTTACAAAAACACCCATCCTACTGGATTAGGACCCCAACCTTGGGACTTCATTTAACCTTAATTATCTCCCTAAAGGCCCTGTCTCCAAATTTGGCCACATGAGGGATTAGGTCTTCAAACTATGAATTTTAAAAAACACAATTCAGTCCATAATATACATCATAGGGGCACAGTGACATTTGCCCTCACCCTTTCTGAGCTTCCTCCACTCCCTGGAAGCTCCTTGGTGTCCAGTCTTTAAAGCATATGGATGCGTCTGCCTCATCTTGGAGTCCTGCTCTCAGTGCAGTCCATGGACTAAGAGCACCGTAGCCCTGCTTCTCACACAGGGCCAGCCTCTCATTTCTGGAGTTTGTACTCCGGAGAGCATGGCCTGTGCTATTGATGCCTGCTTCCCTGTGTCCAAATTTATGACAAGCTTAATTTCAAGATCTAATTGGCTTTTATTTGCAATTCTAGAATTAGGCAACACCTCATGCTATGAAATAGAATGGATGTTCTGCTGAGCTGAGCAGACGGAGTTGGCTTTATGGGCAGGAAAGGGCTGAAGAAGGCAGAAACAGAGAACACAAAGCAGATTGGACATTTCAGAGTTACCCTCCTAACAGGGTTAAAGCTAAGTGGACTTCCTTATGATGCATGCTCAGGTAAACTGGGCCCCTTCCGATTGGTTGCTGTGAAGCTCCTGTTGTTTGGAAGAGTGACCCATTTCCAAGTTCAGTTTGATTATGTGATACTGAACACAAGTGGCTCCACTCTGCTTTGGCCTGGTCTGCTGGGGCCTAGTGCAGGAGCTCAGTCTAAAACAATGGCTTCCCATAAACTTTGTTTAACATGAGCCAGTTATCCTCTCAACTTTCTGCCACTCAGCCAGGCGACTACCTGACTGGAGTCCCTGGCCAAGCAGATAGATTTGCGCTCCTTAAAAGCTCTACCTTGTTGCACCCCTAACCTGCTCTCCTTCCAGTCGATGTCACCCCAAATAAACGAGGCTAGTAGGCACAGACCCCACAGTCACAGATAGGTCTCTTAGGTCCCCCTGCAGGAGATCTCTGGACAGGCAGGTGGAAATTCATTCATGCACTTGAAGGGCTTAGATCAACACTTTACACATTCTGAGGTTTCCACTGTTTCTTCCGATCAGCTATCATTTTGGGTCCTGTTGCTCCTTCAGAGGAAGAAAAGTATGAGTCCACAGTTGCTTCTAGCTCAGCCTGTATCTGACCTCAATTTCCTATTACTGCCTGTCTGCGTTAAGCAAAATAGTTCATTGAGCTACATACATATTTAAGCAATCGGGGAAATTTGATCAAAAAGTTCAATAAATATATAAAAGCCTGTAGGAAAGATTAATGGAAAGATCAGGTAATAACATGAGATGGCTGTGAGAAGTATTTTCTGTGTTGAAATGTTCATTAAAGAAGCTCGTATGGTAAAAATATCAGTAAGGCACAATCACCATGAGCTTAGACATATGCAGACCTGCTAAATCAAAATGAGATCCTTTTGTGAATGTGTTATTTGTAGTGAGGCTTGAAGCACAGAGCAGACGAGAGGTGTCTAAGAGCTTTTCTTCCTGCCAGTCATCTTCTGGTTTTCACGGAAGAAGAGACAATGTGATTGCCATGGAATTCCGTACTTCCCTCCCCACAGCATTGCCCCACTCATTCCCTGACCATGATTTCTAGACACAGCCTGTCCAACCGGATGCCTGGAGACTAGTGGCCGAACCTGTGCTCACTGGGCAGTGAGAAGGTGGGTGAGGTCACACCCTGTGTTTACCATGTCGGTGAGAGCTCCAGGGTAATTCACACAACCTGTTTCCGAACCCTCAAGCCCAAAACAACGATAGACCACTTCCCCTTTACCCTCAGAAGGTTCGCTGAAAAATCAGCTCACAATAAGGCACATTAATGGGAAAAAAGTCTTTATACATTTATTCCTACTGTGCACACAGGGAGAATCACAGAACAATTACCCAGTATCCCAGTGGTGCACAGACGCTTATACATACTACTTCTTAGGGAAAGGGAGGTAGGAAGTGTGGGTGATTCTAGGCGGTTAGTAAATGATTTTTAGGGGAATTTAATGGGCTTGAGGAACAGACAGTTGTCTGGGGCAAAGTCTGTTGGGGCCACAGAGCAGATGATGGTGTGTGACAAAAAGTCTATCCCGATATGTTGGCAGACTTTCGTCTTCCCTCCTGCGATATCTGTTCAGTTGATGAAAACTTGGAAAAAGGAC